>NC_000022.11:16054318-16279672 GCF_000001405.40 Homo sapiens | reverse complement strand
TTCTGTCTGGTTTTTATTTAAAGATATTTCCTTTTCCACCATAGGCCTCATAGGTCTAAATATGTCCGGTGCCGAGTCTACAAAAGGAGTGTTTCAAACCTGCTCTATCAAAAAAAAAAGATTCAACTCTGTGAGTTCAATGCACACATCACAAAGAAGTTTTGGAGAATGCTTCTATCTAGTATTTATGTGAAGATATTCCGGTTTCCAATGAAGGCCTCCAAGCGGTCCAAATATACACTTCCAGACTCTACAAAAAGAGTGTTTCAAAACTGCTCTATCAAAAGAAAGGTTCAACTCTGTGAGTAGAATGCACACATCACAAAGAAGTTTCTGAGAATGCTTCTCTCTAGTTTTTATGTGAAGATATTTACTTTTCCACCACAGGCCTCAATGCTCTCCAAATGTCCACTTGCAGATTCGACAAAAAGAGTGTTTCAAACATTCTCTATCAAAAGAAAGTTTCAACTCTTTGAGGTGAATGCACACATCACAAAGAAGTTTCTGAGAATGCTTCTGCCTGTTTTTGTGTGAACATATTCCTGTTTCCAACGAAGGCCTCAAAGCGTTCCAAATATCCACTTGCATAATCTACAAAAAGAGTGTTTCAGAACTGCTGTATGAAAAGGTATCTTCAACTCTGAGTTGAATGCAAACATTGCAAAGAAGTTTCTGAAAATTCTTCTGTCTAATTTTTATATGAAGATATAACCTTTCCACCATAGGCCTCAAAGCTCTCCAAATGTCAACTTGCAGATTCTACAAAAAGAGTGTTTCAAAGCTGCTCTATCAAAAGAAAGGTTCAACTCTTTGAGTTCAATGGAGGCATGACAAAGAAGTTTTTGAGAATGCTTCTGTCTAGTGTTTATGTGAAGATATTCCCGTTTCCAATGAAGGCCTCATTGCGGTCCAAATATCCACCTGCAGATTCTACAAAAAGAGTGTCTGAAAACTGCTCCATGGAAAGGTATCTTCAACTCTGTGAGTTGAATGCAAACATCACAAAGACGTTTCTGAGAATGCTTCTGTCTATTTTTTGTGTGAAGATATTTCCTTTTCCACCATAGGCCTCAAAGCTCTCCAAATGTCCACTTGCAGATTCTACAAAAAGAGTGTTTCAAACCTGCTCAATGAAAAGAGAGGTTCAACTCTGTGAGTTGAATGCACACATCACAAAGAAGTTTCTGAGAACGCTTCTCTCTAGTTTTTATGTGAAGATACTTCCTTTTCCACGATAGGCCTCAAAGCTCTCCAAATGTCCACTTCAGATTCTACAAAATGAATGTTTCAAACCTGCTCTATCAAAAGAAAGGTTCAACTCTGTGAGTTGAATGCACACATCACAAATAAGTTTATGAGAATACTTCTGTCTAGTTTTTACGTGAAGATATATCCTTTTCCACCATAGGCCTCAAAGAGCTCCAAATGTCCACTTGCAGGTCCTGCAAAAAGAATGTTTTAACCCTGCTCTATGAAAAGGAAGGTTCAACTCTGTGAGTTGAATGCACACATCACAAAGTAGTTTCTGAGAATACTTCTGTCTAGTTTTTACGTGAAGATATTCCCGTTTCCAATGAAGTCCTCAAAGCGGTCCAAATATCCACTTGCAGATTCTACTAAAAGAGTGCTTCGAAACTGCTCTATGATAAAGTATGTTCAACTCGGTAAGTTGAATGCACACATCACAAAGAAGTTTCTGAGAATGCTTCTGTCTACTTTTTATATGAAGATATTCGCTTTTAAAATGAAGGCCTCAAAGGGGTCCAAATATCCACTTGTAGAGTCTACAAAATGAGTGTTTCAAGACTGCTCTATGAAAAGGGATTTTCAACTCTGTGAGTTGAATGCAAACATCACAAAGATGTTTCTGAGAATGGTTCTTTCTAGTTTTTATGTGAAGATATTTCCTATTCCACCACAGGCCTCAAAGCGTTCCAATTGTCGAGTTGCAGATTCTACAAAAAGAGTGTTTCATACCTGCTCTATGACATAAGGTTAACTCTGTGAGTTGAATGCACTCAGCACAAAGAAGTTTTTGAGAAAGCATCTCTCTAGTGATTATGTGAAGATAGTCCCGTTTCCAACGAAGACCTCAAAGCGGTCCAAATATCCACTTTCAGCTTCTACCACAAGAGTGTTTCAAAACTGCTCTATGATAAAGTATGTTCAACTCTGTGAGTTGAATGCAAACCTCACAAACTAGTTTCTGAGAATGCTTCTGTCTAGTTTTTATGTGAAGATATTCCCTTTCCAATGAAGTCCTGAAAGCTATCCAAATATCAACTTGCAGCTTCTACATAAAGAGTGTTTCAAAACTGCTCCATTAAAAGTTATGTTCAACTCTGTGTGTTGAATGCAAACATCACAATGTAGTTTCTGAGAATGCTTCTGTCTATTTTTTATGTGATGATATTTCCTTTTGAACCGTAGGCTTCAAAGCTCTCAAAATGTTGAATTGCAGATCCTACAAAAAGAGTGTTTCAAACCTGCTCTATCAAAAGAAAGGTTAAACTCTGTGAGTTGAATGCACACATTACAAGGAGAGTCTGAGAATCCTTCTGTCTCCTGTTTATGTGAAGATATTCCCGTTTCCAACGAAAGCCTCAAAGCGGTCCAAATATCCACTTGCAGATTCTACAAAAAGAGTGTTTCAAAACTGCTCTAGGACAAGGTATGTTCAACTCTGTGTGTTGAATGCAACCACTGCAAAGAATTTTCTGAGAATGCTTCTGTCTAGTTTTTATGTGAAGTTATTTCCTTTTCCACCATTGGCCTCCAAGCGCTGCAAATGTCCACTTGCAGATTCTACAAAAAGAGTGTTTCAAACCTGCTCTATAAAAAGAAAGTTTCAACTCTCTGAGTTGAATGCACACATCACAAAGAAGTTTTTGGGAATGCTTCTGGCTAGTTTTTATGTAAAATTATTTCCATTTCCACCATAGGCCTCAGTGCGTTCCAAATGTCCACTTGCAGATTATACAAAAACAGTGCCTCAAAACTGCTCTATCAAAAAGAAGGTTCAACTCTGTGAATTGAATGCACACATCACAAAGAAGTTTCTGAGAATGCTTCTGTCTAGTGTTTATGTGAAGGTATTCCCGTTTCCACCAAAGGCCTCAAAGCACTCCAAATATCCAATTGCAGATTCTACAAAAAGTGTTTTTCAAAACTGTTCTGTCAAGAGGAATGGTGAACTCGGTGAGTTGAATGCACAAATCACAAAGAAGTTTCTGAGAATGCTTCTGTCTAGTTTTTGTGTGAAGATATTTCCTTTTCCAATATAGGCCTCAAAGCAGTCCAAATATCCACTTGCAGATTCTACAAAAATAGTGTTGCAAAACTGCTCTGTCTAAAGGAATGTTCAACTCTTGGAGTTGAATGCACACATCACAAAATAGTTTCTGTGAATGCTTCTATCTAGTTTCTATATGAAAATATATCCTTTTCTACCGTAGGCCTCAAAGTGCTCCAAATATACACCTGCAGATTCTACAAAAAGAGTGTTTCAAAACTGCTCTACCAAAAGGAAGTTTCAACTCTCTGAGTTTAATGCACACAGCACAAAGAAGTTTCTCTGAATACTTCTGTGTTGTTTTTATTTAAAGATATTTCCTTTTCCAACACAGAGTGCAAAGGGCTCCAAATATCCACTTGCAGTTTCTTCAGAAAGAGAGATTCTAAACTGCCCAATCAAAAGATAGGTTCACCTCTGTGAGTTGAATGCATCCATCACAAAGAAGTTTCTCTGAATGGTTCTGTGTAGTTTTAATTGCAGATATTTCCTTTTCCACAATAGGGTGAAAGGGCTCCAAACATCCACTTCCAGATTCTACAAAACATGAGAAGATAAATTCAACTCAGTCAGTTGAATGCACACATCACAAATAAGTTTCTTAGAATGCTTCTGTGTAGTTTTTATTGAGGATATTTCCTTTTCAACCATAGGGTGCAAAGGGCTCCAAATATCCACTTGCAGATTCTACAAAAAGAGTGTTTCAAAACTGCTCAATCAAAAGAAAGGTTCAACTCTGTGAGATGAATGCACACATCACAAAGAAGTTTCTCAGAATGCTTCTGTGTAGTTTTTATGTGAAGCTATTTCCTTTTCCACAATAGGCCTCAAAGCTCTCCCAACATCCACTTGCAGATTCTGCAAAAAGAGAGATTCAAAACTGCTCAATTGAAAGACAGGTTCAACTCTGTGAGTTGAATGCACACATCACAAAGAAGTTTCTCAGAAAGCTTCTCTGTAGTTTTTATGTGAACATATTTGCTTTTCCACAGTAGGCTTCACAGCGCTCCAAATATCTACTTGCAGATTCTGCAAAAAGAGAGATTCAAAACTGTTCAATCAAAAGATAGGTTCAACTCTGTGAGTTGAACGCATACATCACAAAGAAGTTTCTGAGAATGCTTCTGTGTAGTTTTTATTTGAAGATATTTCCTTTTCCACCATAGGCCACAGAGGGCTCCAAATATCCACTTGCAGATTCAACAAAAAGAGTGTTTGAAAACTGCTCAATCACAAGAAAGTTTCAACTCTGTGAGATGAATGCACACATCACAAAGAAGTTTCTCAGAATGCTTCTGTGTAGTTCTTATTTGAAGATATTTGGTTTTCCACTGTAGGCCTCAAAGCGCTCCAAATATCCACTTGCAGATCCTACAAAAAGAGTGTGTGAAAACTGCTCAATCATAAGCTAGGTTCAACCCTGTGAGATGAATGCACACATCATGAAGAAATTTCTCAGAATGCTTCTGTGTAGTTTTTATGTGAAGATATTTGTTTTTCCACAGTAGGCGTCAAAGGGTTCCAAATATCTACATGAAGATTCTGCCAAAAGAGAGATTCAAAACTGCTGATTCAAAAGATAGGTTCAACTCTGTGAGTTGAATGCATACATCACAAAGCAGTTTCTCTGAATGCTTCTGTGTAGTTTTTATTTGGAGATATCTCCTTTTCCACCATAGAGCGCAAAGGGCTCCAAACATGCACTTGGAGATTCTACCAAAAGATAAATTCAAAACTGCTCAATGAGAAGATAGTTCAACTCTGTGAGTTGAATGCACACCTCACAAAGAAGTTTCTCACAATGTTTCTGCATAGTTTTTATGTGAAGATCTTTGCTTTTCCACTGTAGACCTCAAAGGGCTCGAAATATCCACCTTCAGATTGTGCAAAAGAGAGATTCAAAACTGCTCAATCAAAAGATAGGTTCAACTCTGTGAGTTGAATGCACACATCACAAAGAAGTTTCTCTGAATGCTTCTGTGTAGCTTTTATTTCAAGATATTTCCTTTTCCACCATAGGGCACAAAGGTCTTCAAATATCCACTTGCAGATTCTACAAAAAGAGAGATTGAAAACTCCTCAAAGAGAAGATAATTTCAACTCCGTGAGTTGAATGCACACCTCACAAAGTAGTTTCTGAGAATGCTTCTGCATAGTTTTTATGTGAAGGTATTTCCTTTTCCACAATAGGCCTCAAAGGGCTCCAAATATCCACTTGCAGATTCCACGAAGAGAGTGTTTCAAAACTGCTCAATCAAAAGAAAGTTTCAACTCTGTGAGATGAATGCGCACATCACAAAGAAGTTTCTCAGATTGCTTCCTTCTAGATTTTATGTGAAGATATTTCCTTTTCTATCATAAGCCACAAAGCGCTCCAAATGTCCACTTGCAGATTCTACAAAAACGGTGTTTGGAAACTATGCAATCAAAAGAAAGGTTCAACTCTGTTAGATGAACGTACACATCATAAAAAAGATTCTCAGAATTCTTCTATCTGTTTTTTTGTGAAGATATTTCCTTTTACAACTTAAGCCTGAAGGTGCTTGAAATGTCCCCTTGCAGATTAGCCAAAAAGAGTATTTGAAAACTGGTTCTCCTAAAGAAAGATGGAACTCCAGGAGATGAATGCAGACATCACAGAGAACTTTCTCAGAATGCTTCTATCTACTTTTTATGTGAAGACATTTCCTTCTCCACGACAGGCCTCAAAGCGCTGCCAAATGTCCACTTGCAGATTCTACAAAAAGAGAGTTTCCAATCTGCTCAATCAAAAGAAAGGTTTAACTCCATGAGATTAATGCACGCATCAAAAAGGAGTTTCTCAGATTGCTTCTGTCTAGATTTAATGTGAAAATATTTCCTTTTCTACCATTGGCCACAAAGAGTTCCAAATGTCCACTTGCAGATTCTACAAAAAGAGTGTTTCCAAGCTACTCAATCAAAAGAAACGTTCAACTCTGTGAGATGAATGCACTCATCACAAAGAAGTTTCACAGAATTCTTCTGTCTAATTTTTATGTGAAGATATTTCCTGTTCCACCATAGGCCTCAAGACGCTCTAAATGTCCACTTGCAGATTCTACAAAAAGAGTTTCAAAACTGCTCAATCAAAAGAAAGGGTTATCTCTGTGAGATGAATGCATATATCACAAACAAGTTTCTCATATTGCTTCTGTCTAGATTTTATGTGAAGATATTTACTTTTCTACCATAGACTGCAAAGCGCTCCAAATGTCCACTTTCAGATTCTACAAGAAAGAGTGGTACCAAACTGCTCAATCAAAAGAATGGTTCCACTCTGTGAGAAGAACGCACACATCACAAAGAAGTTTGTCAGAATTCTTCTGTCTAGTTTTTATGTGAAGATATTTCCTTTTCCACCATAGGCCTCAAAGCGTTCCAAATGTCCACTTGCAGATTCTACAAAAAGAGAGTTTCAAAACTGCTGAATCAAAAGAAAGTTTAAACTCTGTGAGATGAATGCACCCATCACTAAGAAGTTTCTCCGATTGCTTCTCTCTAGATTTTATGTGAAGGTATTACTTTTTCTACCATAGGTATAGGCCTCAAAGCACTCCAAATGTCCACTTGCAGATTCTACGAAAAGAGTTTCAAAACCATTCAATCAAAAGAAAGGTTTAACTCTGTGAGATGAATGCACACATCACAAAGAAGTTTCTCAGATGGCTTCTGTCTAGATTTTATGTGAAAATATTTCCTTTTCTACCATATGCCGCAAAGTTCTCCAAATGTCCACTTGCAGATTCTACAGTAAGAGTGTTTCCAAACTGTTCAATCAAACGATAGGTTCAAATCTGTGAGATGAATGCACACATCCCAAAGAAGTTTCTCAGAATTCTTCTGTCCAGTTTTTATGTGCAGATATTTCCTTTTCCACTGTTGGCCTCAAAGAGCTCCAAATATCCACTTGCAGATTCTACAAATAGAGAGCTTCAAGACTGCTCAATCAAAAGAAAAGTTTAACTCCATGAGATGAATGCACACATCACAAAGAAGTTGCTCAGATTGCTTCTGTCTAGACTTTATGTGAAGATATTTTCTTTCCTACTATAGGCTGCAAAGCGCTCTGAATGTGCACTTTCAGATTCTACAAAAGATTGTTTCCAACCGGCTGTATCAAAAGAAAGTTTCAACTATGGGAGATGAAAGCATGCATCATAAAGAAGTTTCTCAGAATTCTTCTGTCTAGTTTTTATGTGAAGAGATTTCCTTTTCCACCACAGGCCTAAAGGGGCTCCAAATGTCCACTTGCAGATACTACAAAAAGAGAGTTTCAAAACTGCTCAATAAAAAGAAAGGTTTAACTCTGTGAGATGAATGCACACATCACAAAGAAGTTTGCCAGACTGCTTCTGTCTAGATTTTATGTGAATATATTTCGTTTTCTACCATAGGCCGCAAAGCACTAAAATTGTCTACATGTAGATTCTACAAAAAGAGTGGTTCCAAAAACCCCATTGAAAAGAAACTTTCAACTCTGTGTGATGAACGCATGCATCACAAAGTGATTTCACAGCATTATTCTGTCTAGTTTTTGTGTGAAGATATTTCCTTTTCCACCACAGTTCTCAAAGAGCTTCAAATGTCCACTTGCAGATTGTTCAAAAAGTGTGTTTCCAAACTACTCGATCAAAAAAAGTTTAACTCTGTGAGATGAACGCACATGTTGCATAGATGTTTCTCAGATTTCTTCTGTCTAGTTTTTATGTGAATGTATTTCATTTTCCACCACAGGCCTCAAGGGGCTTCAAATGTCCACTTGCAGATTCCACAAAAAGAGTAATAAATAACTGGCCCATCAAAAGAAAGGCTCAAATCTAGGAGATGAACGCACATATCAAAAAGTAGTTTCTCACATTGATTCTATCTAGTTTTTATGTGAAGATATTTCCTTTTCCACGATAGGTCTCAAACTGCTCCAAATGTTCACTTGCAGAATCTACAAAAAGAGAGTTTCAAAACTGCTCAATCAAAAGAAAGGTTTAACTCTGTGAGATGAATGCACACATCACAAAGAAGTTTCTCAGAATTCTTCTGTCTAGATTTTATGTGAAGATATTTCCTTTCCCCCAAGGGCCTGAAAGAGCTCCAAATGCCCAATTTCAGATTCAACAAAAACAGATTCAGAACTACTCATTCAAAGGAAAGTTTTAACTCTGTGAGATAAATGCACACATCAAAAAGAAGTTTCTCAGATTGCTTCTGTCTAGATTTAATGTGAAGATATTTCCTTTTCCACCATAGGCCTCAAAGCACTCCAAATATCCACTTGCAGATTCTACAAAAAGGGTGTTTCAAAACTGCTCCAATAAAAAGGAAGTTCTAACGCTGTGAGATGAATGCACACATCACAAATAAGTTTCTCAGATTGCTTCTGTCTAGATTTTATATGAAGATATTTCCTTTTCTACCATAGGCCGCAAAGTTCTCCAAATGTCCACTTGCAGATTCTACAAAAAGAATGTTTGCAAACTGCTCAATCAAAAGAAAGGTTCAACTCTGTGAGATGAATCCACACGTCCCAAAGAAGTTTCTCAGAATTCTGTCTAGTTTTTATGTGAAAATATTTCCTTTTCCACCATAGTCCACATAGCGCTCCAAATGTCCACTTGCAGATTCTACAAAAAGAGTGTTTCAAAACTGCTCCAATCAAAAGGAAGTTTTAATGCTGTGAGATGAATGCACACGTCACAAAGGAGTTTCTCAGATTACTTCTGTCTAGAATTTATGTGAAGATATTTCCTTTTTTACTATAGGCCACAAAGCACACAACACGTCCACTTGCAGATTCTACAATTTTTCCAAACTGCTCAATCAAAAGAAAGGTTCAACTCTGTGAGATGAACCCACACATTTCAAAGAAATTTCTCAGAATTCTTCTGTTTAGCTTTTATGTGAAGATATTTCATTTTCCACGCTAGGCCTCAAGGCTCTCGAAATGTCCACATGCAGATTCCACAAAAAGAGTATTTCAAAACTGGTCCATCAAAGGAAAGGTACAGCTCTGTTGAATGAATACACCCATTACAAAGAATTTTCTCAGATTTCTTCTGTCTATATTTTATGTGAATATATTCCCTTTTCTACCATAGGCTGCAAAGCGTTCCAAATGTCCACTTCCAGATACTACAAAAAGAGTGTTTTCAAACTGCTCAATCAAAAGGAAGGTTCAACTCTGTGAGATGAACCCAAACATCACAAAGAAGTTTCTCAGAATTTTTCTGTCTATTTGTTACGTGAAGATGTTTCCTTTTCCAACATAGAAGTTTCTCAGATTGCTTCTCTCTAGATTTTATGTGAAGATATTTCTTTTTCCACCGTAGGCCTCAACACACTCCAAATGTCAACTTGCAGATTCTACAAAAAGAGAGTTTCAAAACTGCTCAAAAAAAGAAAGATTTAACTGTGTGAGATGAATGCACACAGCAGAAAGAAGTTTCTCAGATTGGTTCTGTCTAGATTTTATGTGAAGACATTTCCTGTTCTACCATAGGTCACAAAGTGCTCCAAATTTCCACTTGCCGATTCCACAAAAAGAGGGTCTCGAAACTGCTCAATGAAAAGAAAGTTTCAACTCGGTGAGATGAAAGGACACATCACAAAGAAGTTTCTCAGATTGCTTCTGTCTAGATTTTATATGAAGATATTTCTTTCTTCTAACATAGGCTGCAAAGCGTTCCAAATGTCCACTGCAGATTTTACAAAGAGTGTTTCCAAACTGCTCAATCAAAAGAAAAGTTCAACTTTATGAGATGAACGCACACATCACAAATACGTTTCTCAGAATTCTTCTGTCTTGTTTTTATGTGAAGATATTTCCTTTTCCAACATAGGCCTCAAAGCCCTACAAATGTCCACTTACAGATGCTACAAAAAGTGAGTTTCAAAACTGCTCAATCCAAAGAAAGGTTTTACTGTGTGAGATGAATGCACACATCATAAAAAAGTTTCTCAGATTGCTTCTTTCTAGATTTCATCTGAGGATATTTCCTTTTCCACCATATGACTCATAGTACTCCAAATGTCCACTTTCAGATTCTACAAAAAGAGAGTTTCAAAACTTCTCAATCAAAGGAAAGGTTTAACACTGTGAGATGAATGCATACATTTACAAAGAAGTTTCTCAGATTTCTTCTGTCTGGATTTTATGTGAAGATATTTCCTTTTCTAAAATAGGCTGCAAAGCGCTCCAAATGTCCACTTGCGGATTCTACAAAAAGAGTGTTTCCAAAGTGCTCAATCAAAAGAAAGGTTCAACTCGGTTAGATGAATGCACACATAACAAAGCAGTTTCTCAGATTACTTCTGTCTAGATTTTATGTGAAGATATTCCTTTTTTCTACCATAGGCTGCAAAGAGCTCCAAATGTCCACTTGCAAATTCTAGAAAAAGAGTGTTTTCAAACTGCCCCATCCAAACAAAAGTTCAACTCTGTGAGATGAATGCACACATCACAAAGAAGTTTCTCAGAATTCTTCTGTCTAGTTTTTATATGAAGATATTTCCTTTTCCACCATAGGCCTCAAAACGCTCCAAATGTTCACTTCCAGATTTAAAAGACAGAGTGTTTCCAAACCAGTCAATCAAAAGAAAGGTTGAACTCTGTGAGATGAACGCATGCACCAAAAAGAAGTTTCTCATAATTCTTCTGTCTAGTTTTTATGTGAAGATATTTCCTTTTCTACCATAGGCCACAAAGCGCTCCAAAGGTCCAGTTGCACATTCTACAAAAGGAGATTTTCAAAACTCCTCAACCAAAGAACATTTTAACTCTGTGAGATGAATGCACACATCACAAAGAAGTTTCTCAGATGACTTCTGTCTAGATTTTATGTGAAGATATTTCCTTTTCTACCACAGGCCACAAAGCTCTCCAAATGTCCACTTGCAGATTCAAGAAAAAGACTGTTCAACACTGTGAAAGGAATCATCATAGAATGGTATTGAATGGAATCATTGAATTTATTCGAATGGAATAATCATCGAATGGAATTGAATGCAATCATTGAATGTAATAGAATGGAATCATCATTGAATGGAATCAAATGGAATCATCATCGAATGGAATCGAATGGAATCATCATCGAATGGAATCGAATGGAATCATCAGCAAATGGAAACAAAAGGAATCATCATGGAATAGAATGGAATGGAATCATCGAATGGAATGGAATGGAATCATCATGGAAAGGAATTGAAGGGAATCATCGAATGGAATCGAATGGAATCATAGAATGGAATCGAATGGAATCTTCATCCAATGGACTCAAACGGAATTATCATGGAAAGGAATCAAATGGAATCATCGAATGGAATCATCGAATGGACTCGAATGGAGTCATCATCACATCAAATCGGATGGAATCAACGAAGGAACTCGAATGAAATCATCGAATGGACTCGAATGGAATCATCATTGAATGGAATCAAATGGAATCATCGAATGGACTCAAATGGACCCATCATCGAATGAAATCGAATGGGATCATCATCAAATGTAATTGAATGGTATCACTATCAAAAGAAATCAAATGGAATCACCAAATGGACTCAACAGTAATGATCAAATGGACTCAAATGGAATCATCAAATGGAATCGAATAGAATCATCAAATGGACTTGAATGGAATTATCAAATGGACTCGAATGGAGTCATCAAATGGAGTCATCAAGTGGACTCTAGTGGAATCATAATAAAATGGAATTGAATGGAATCATCAAATGGACTCAAATGGAATCATTGGATGGACTCGAATGAAATCATTGAATGGACTCAAATGGAATTATCATCGAATGGAATTGAATGGAATCCTCGAATAGAATCAGATGGAATCATCAAATGGAATTGAACGGAATCATCATCGAACAGAATCAAATGGAATGATCGAATGGAATCGAAGGCAATCATCATCGACTGGAATCAAATGGAATCATTGAATGGACTCAAATGGAATCAATGACAAGTGGAATCGAGTGGAATCATCGAAAGAAATCGAATGGAATCATTGTCGAATGGAATGGAATGGAATCAAAGAATGGAATTGAATAGAATCACCAATGAATTGAATCGAATGGAATCATCATCAAATGGAATCAAAGGGAATCATTGAATGGACTCGAATAGTATCATTATCGAATGGAATCATGTGGAATCATCTAATGGGCATGAATAGAATCATCATCGAATGGAATCGAATGGAATCATCTAATGTACTCGAATGGAATCATCATTGAATGGAATAGAATGGAATCATAGAATGCAATCGAACGGAATCATCATTGTATGGAATTGAGTGGAATCATCGAATGGACTTGAATATAATCATCGGAGAATGGAATCAAATGGAATCATCAAATGGACTCGAATGGAATTATCATCGAATGGAATCGAATGGAATCATTGAATGGACTCGAATGGAATCATCACCGAATATAATCAAAAGCAATCATCAAATGGATTCGAATAGAATCATCGAATGGACTCCAATGGAATCATCATCAAACAGAATCGAATGGAATCATCGAATGGAATGGAATGGAATCATCATCGAATGGAATCGAATGGAATCACTGAATGGAATAGAATGGAATCATCGAATGGAATCGAATGGAATCATCATCAAATGGAATCGAATGTAATCACTGTATGGACTTGAATGGAATCATCATCAAATGGAATTGAAAGGAATGATCTAATGGATTTGAAAGGAATCATCTAATGGACTCGAAAGGAATCATCATCGAATGAAATCAAATGGAATCACAGAACGGAGATGAAAGGAATCATCATCGAATAGAATCGAATGGAATCATTGAATAGACTCAAAAGGAATGTCATTGAATGGAATCAAAAGCCATCATCGAATGGACTGAAATGGAATTATCGGATGGAGTCAAATGGAATCACCGAATGGACTTGAATGGAATTATCATCAAATGGACTCAAATGGAATGATCGAATGGACTCGAATGGAATAATGGATTGGACTCAAATGGAATTATCGAATAGGCTCAAATGGAATCATCGAATGGACTCGAATGGAATCATTATGGAATGGAATGAAATGGAATAATCAAATGGAATTGAATGGAATCATAGAATGGAATCGATCGGAATCTTCATCAAATGGAGTAAGATGGAATCATCGAATGGAATTGAATACAGTCATCATCGAATGGACTCGAATAGTATCCTCATTGAATGGAATCGAATGGAATCATCAAATGAATTTGAATGAAATCATCATCGAATGCATTCTAATGGAATAATCGAATGAACTGGAATAGAATCATCGAATGGAGTTGAATGGAATCATAATCAAATGAAATCAAATGGAATCATAGAATAGCATCGAATGGAATCATCATTGAATGGAGTTGAATGGAATCATCGAATGGACTCGAACGGAATCGTCATGGAATGTAATCGAAAGGAATCTTTGAATGGACCCAAATGGAATTATCATCGAATGCAATCGAATGGAATCATCACCGAATGCAATCGAATGGAATCATAGAATTGAATAGAATGGGATCATCATCGAATGGAATCAAATAGAATCATTGAATGAAATTGAATGTAATCATCAGTGAGTGGAATCTAATGGAATCATCGAATTGAATAGAATGGAATCATCATTGAATGGAATCGAATAGAATCATTGAATGTAATCGAATGGAATCATCATCGAGTGGAGTCGAACGGAATCATCAACGAATGGAGTCGAATGGAATCATAGAATGGAATCCAATGTAATCATCATCGAATTTAACCCAATGGAATCATTAAATGGACGCGAATGGAATCATCATCGATTGGAATAGAATGGAATCATAAAATGCAATCGAATGGAATCATCATCGAATGAAATCAAATGGAAGCATCGAACGGACTCGAATGGAATCATCATCGAATGGAATCGAATGGAATCATTGAATGGACTCGAATGGAATCATCATCGAATGGAATTGAAAGGAATCATCAAATGGACTTGAATGGAATCATTGAATGGACTCGAATGGAACCATCATTGAATGCAATCGAATAGAATCATTGAATGACATCGAATGGAATCATCATCGAATGGAATCAAATGGAATCATCAAATGGACTCGAATGGAATCACCATTGAATGGAATCGAATGGAATCATCATCGAATGAAATCGAATGGAATCATCGAATGGACTCAAATGAAATCATCATTGAATGGAATCGAATGCAAGCATTGAAGGGACTCGAATAGAATCATCATTGAATGGAATTGAATGGAATCATCGAACGGAATCGAATGGAATCATCGAATGGCATCGAATGGTATCATCACCGAATGGAATCATCAAATGGAATCGAATGGAATCATCATCAAATGAAATTGAAGGGAATCATTGAATGGCATCAAAAGGAATCATCATCCAATGGAATCAAATGGAATCATCTAACGGACTCGTTTGCAGTCATCTTCGAATAGAATTGAGTGGAATCATCAAATGGACACGAATGGAATCATCATCGAATGGAATCAAATGGAATCATCATCAAATGGAGTCGAATAGAATCATCATAGAATGGAATTGAATGGAATCATCAAGTGGAATAGAATGGACTCATCATCGAATGGAATCAAATAGAATCATCGAATGAAATCAAGTGGAAATATCATCGAATGGAATCGAATGGAATCATCATCAAATGGAATCAAATGGAATCATCAACAAATGGAATCACATGGAATAATCGAATGGAATCTAATGCAATCATCATCACATGGAACCGAATGGAACCATCATGGAGGGGAATCTAATGGAATCATCATCGAATGGAATCCAATGGGATCACTGAATTGAATGGAGTGATCATTGAATGGAATCAAAGGGGTTCATCAAATGGGATCAAAAGGAATCATCGAATGGAATCGAATGGAATCATCGAATGGATTTGAATGGAATCATCATTGAATGGAATCATCATTGAATGGAATCAAATGGAATCATTGAACGGACTCGAGTGGAATCATCATTGAATGGAATAAAATGGAATCATTCAAAGGATACGAATGGAATCATCATTGAATGGAATCCAATGGAATCATCGAATGGACTCAAATGGAAATATCATCAAATGGAACCAAATGGAATCATCGAATGGCATTGAATAGAATCATCAATGAATGTTATCTAAGGGAATAATCAAATGGACTCGAATGGAATCATCTAATGGACTCGAGTGGAATCATCATCAAATGGAATGAAATGGAATCATCGAATGGGACTTGAATGGACTCATCAATGAATAGAATCGACTGGAATCATCAAATGGACTCAAATGAAATCATCATCAAATGGAATCTAATGGAATCTGAGAATGGACTCGAATGGAATCATCAACGAATGGAATCAAATGGAATCATTGAATGGCATCGAATGGAATCATCATGGGAATGGAATGGAATAGAATCATCGAATGGACACGAATGGAGTCATGATCGATTGGAATCGAATGTAATATTTGAATGCACTCAATTGAAATCATCATCGAATGCAAGTGAATGGAATCATCATCGAATGGAATCAAATGGAATCATCATCGTATGGAATCATCATCAAATGGAATCGAATGGAATCATCATTGAATGGAATTGAATGGGATCATCATCGAATGGAATAGAATGGAATCATCCAATGGAATAGAATGGAGTCATCATCGAATGGGATCGAATGGAATCATCGAATGAAATTGAATGGAATCATCATCGAATGAAATAGAATGGAATGATCATCGAATGGAATTGAATGGATTCATCATCCAATGTAACTGAATGGAATCATCATCGAATGGAATCAAATGGAATCATCATCGAATGGAATTGAATGGAATCATCCAATATAATAGAATTGAATCTTCATCAAATGGAATCAAATATAATCATCAAATGAAATCGAATGGAATCATCATTGAATGGAATCAAATGGAATCATCAATGAAAGGAATCGAATGGAATCATAGAATGGAATCCAATGTAATCATCATTGTATTGAACTCAATGGAATCATTAAATGGACCAGAATGGAATCATTGAATGGACTCGAATGGAATCATCATCAAATGGAATAGAATGGAATCATTCAATGGAATCGAATGGAATTATCATCAAATGAAATCAAATGGAATCATCGAGTGGACTCGAATGGAATTATCATCTAACGGAATTGAATGGAATCATCAAATGGACTCGAATGGAATCATCATTGAATGGACTCAAAAAGAATTATCGAATGGACTCGAATGGAATCATCATCAAATGGACTCAAATGGAATGATCGAATGGACTCGAATTGAATCATGGATTGGACTCAAAAGGAATTATTGAATGGGCTTGAATGGAATCATCGAATGGGCTTGAATGGAATCATCGAATGGACTTGAATCGAATCATTATCGAATTGAATAAAATGGAATCATCGAATGGAATCGAATGGAATAATCGAACGTAATTGATCGCAAACATCATTGAATGGAATCAACCATTATCATCAAATGGAATCGAATGCAGTCGTCATCGAATGGAATCGAAAGGAATCATCATCGAATAGAATTGAATGGAATCATCGAATGGAATAGAGTGGAATCATCCTCAAATGTAATCGAATGGAATCATCGAGTGGAATCAAATGGAATAATCGAATGGAATTGAATGGAATCAGCATCAAATGATACTGAATGGAATCATCATCGAATAGAATCGAATGGAATCAATGAATGGAATCATCATCAAATGGAGTCAAATGGAATCATCAAATGGACTCGAATGGAATCATCATAGAATGGAATTGAATGGAATCATCGTGTGAAATCGAATGGATTCATCATTGAATGGAATCGAATGGAATCATCTTCAGTTGAAATCAAAAGGAATCACCGAATGGACACGAATGGAATAATCATCAAAAGGAATCACATGGAATCATTGAATGGACTCGAATGGAATCATCATCGAATGGAATTGAATGGAATCATCGAATGGAATCGAATGGAATCATCATCGAATGGCATCAAATGGAATCATTATCAAATGGAATAGAAAAGAATCAACATCAAATGGAGTCTAAAGGAATCATCATTGAATGGAATCCAAAGGAATCATCATCGCATGGAAACGAATGGAATCATCATCGAATGGAACTGAAAGGAGTCATCATCGAATGGAATCACATGGAATCATCATCGAATGGAATCGAATGGAACCATCATCAAATGGAATCGAATGGAATCATCGAATGGAATCGAATGGAATCATCATCGAATGGCATCAAATGGAATCATCATCGAATGGAATAGAAAAGAATCAACATCAAATGGAGTCGAAAGGAATCATCATTGAATGGAATCCAAAGGAATCATCATCGCATGGAACTGAATGGAATCATCATCGAATGGAACCGAATGGAGTCATCTTCGAATGGAATTGCATGGAATCATCATCGAATGGAATCGTATGGAATCATCATCGAATGGAATCGAAGGGAACCATCATCAAATGGAATCGAATGGAATCATCGAATGGAATTGAATGGAATCATCATCGAATGAATTGAATGGAATCATTGAATGGTCTCGAATGGAATCATTATCAAATGGAATCGAATGGAATTGCCAAATAGAATTGAATGGAATAATCATCGAATGGACTCGAATGGAATTATCATCCAATGGAATTGAATGGAATTATCAAATGGAATTGAATAGAATCATTGAATGGACTCGAATGGAATCATCCAATGGAATGGAATGGAATAATCAATGAACTCGAATGGAATCATCATTGAATGGAATCGAATGGAACCATTGAATGGAATCAAATGGAATCATCGAGTGGAATCAAATGGAATCATTATCATATGGAATCGAGTGGAATCATCATTGAATGGAATCAAAAAGAATCATCATCAATTGGAATTTTATGGAATCATCATCAAATGGAATCCAAAGGAATCATCATTGAATGGAATCAAATGGAATCATCATCGAATGGAAACGAAAGGAGTCATCATCAAATGGAATTGCATGGAATCATCATCGAATGGAATTGAATGGATTCATCATCAAATGGAATCTAATGGATTCATTGAATGGAATTGAATGGAATCGTCATCAAATGAATTGAATGGAATCATTGAATGGTCTCGAATGGAATCATCTTCAAATGGAATCGAATGGAATCATCGCACAGAATCGAATGGAATTATCATTGAATGGACTGAAATGGAATCAACATCAAACGGGAGATCAAACGGAGATTATCGAATGGAATCGAAGAGAATCATCGAATGGGCTTGAATGGAATCATCGAATCGAATGGAATGGAATAATCCATGGGACTCGAATGCGATCATCATCGAATGAAATTGAATGGAGTCATCATCGGATGGAAATGAATTGAATCATCATCGAGTGGAATCGAATGGAATCATCAAATGGAATCAGATGGAATCATCACCGAATGGAATCGTATAGAATTATGGAATGAAATTGAATGTGATCATCATCGAATGGACTCGAATGGAATCATCATCCAATGGAAACTAATGGAATCAACATCAAATGGAATTGAATGGAAAAACCATCGAATTGAAACGAATAGAATTATCATGAAATTGAAATGGATGGACTCATCATCTAATGGATTCGAATGGAATCATCGAATGGAATTGATTGGAATCATCTTCAAATGGAATCAAATGGAGTCATTGAATGGAATCGAATGGAATCATCATCGGATGGAAACGAATGGAAGCATCATAGAATGGAATCGAATGGATTCATTGAATGGAATCAGATGGAATCATCGTATGTACTTGAATGGAATCATCGAATGGACTCGAATAGAATCATTATTGAATGGAAATGAATGGAATCATTGAATGGTCTCGAATGGAATCATCATCGAATGGAATCGAATTTAATCATTGAATAGAATTGACTGGAATCATCTTCGAATGGAATTGAATAGAATCGGCATCGAAAAGAATCAAATGGAATCATCATCAATGGAATTGAATGGAATTTTCTTCAAATGGAATCGAATGGAAACATCATCGAATAGAATCCAATGGGATCATCGAATGAAACTGAATGGAATCATCATCAAAACGAATCAAAATAAAACAAAGAATGGAATCCAACAGAATCATCGAATGGAATCAAATGGAATCATCATTGAATGGACTCGATTGGAGTCATCATCGAATGGAATCGAATGGAATCATTTAATGGACTCGAATGGAATCATAGAATGGACTCGAATGGAATCATCGAATGGAATCTAATGCAATCATCATAGAATGAAATCAAATGGAATCATCGAATGGAATCAAATGGAATCATCATCGAATGGAATCAAATGAAATCATGGAATGCACTCGAATGGAATCATAGAATGGACTCAAATGGAATCAACATTGAGTGGAATCAAAAGAAAACATCAAATGGAGTTGAATGGAATAATCGAATGGCGTCATCATCTAAGGGAATAGAATGGAATCATCGAATGGACCCAAAAGGAATCATCATCGAATGTAATCAAATGGAATCATCAAATGGAATCCAATGGAATCATCATTGAATGGAATTGAATGGAATCATAATCAAATGGAATCGAATGGAATCATCAATGAATGGAATCGAATGGAGTCATCGAATGGAGTCCGCTAGAATCATCATCAAATGGAACCGAATGCAGTCATCATCTAATGGAATCAAATGGAATCATCGAATGGACTCGATGGAATCATCATTGCATGGAATCGAATGGAATCATCGAATGGACTCAAATGGAATCATCATCGAATGGAATCGAATGGAATCATCGATTGGACACGAATGGAATCACCATCGAATGGAATCAAATGCAATCTTTGAATGGAATCGAATGAAATCATTGAATGGAATCGAATAGAATCATCATTGAATAGAATCGAATTGGATCATCATCGAAAGGAATCTAATGAAATCATCATCAAATGGAATCTAGTGGAGTTATCATCTAATGGAATTGAATGGAATCAGCAAGGAATGGAATCGAATGGAGAAATCAAATGGAATCCGTTGGAATCATCATCGAATGGAACCGAATGCAGTCACCATAGAATGGAATCGAATGGAATCAATGAAAGGACTCGAATTGTGTCATCATTGAATGGAATCAGATGGAATCATCGAATGGCCTCGAATGGAATCATGGAATGGACTCGAATGGAAACATCATCGTATGGAATCGAATGGAATCCTCGAATGAACTCTAATGGAATCATCATCGAATGGAATCGAATGGAATCAAATTGAATCATCGAATGGACTCTAATGGAATCATCATCGAATGGAATCGAATGGAATCATCAAATGGACTCGAATGGAATCATCATCGCATGGAATCGAGTGGAATCCTCGAATGGGATCAAATGGAATCATCAAATGGAATCAAACAGATTTTTAAGAAACTTACTTGATCCAAAAAATAGAAAAACACACAAGCCAAAACCCCCTAAAACTGTGATAAGCAAAGCAGACATCATAACAGGAAATATCACTGGGGATGAAGAATAACATTTCAAAATGACAAAGGGGAAAATACACCAAGAGGTCATGTAAATAAGAAATATGTATGCACACAATAGCAGTACTTCAAAATACATAATATAAAACCTATTAAAACTGAAAGGTAAAATAGTAAAACCACAGTCATCCATGGGGATTTCAACAGTCTCCTGCCAGAAATTTTTAAATTTTGTTAAACGAAGAGTTGGTAAGGGTAGAGAGGATCTTAAAAATATAATTAGCCAACTTGATCTAGTTGAATCTTTTAGAATAATCTAAGGATGAGGAATGAGGTAGCAGAGAAAGAAAAGGCAGACATCAACGTGACATTAGTGTTTCAAGGCTATGAGAATACACCAATAATGGTGTGTGTGTGTGTGCAGATGGTAAGCTCAATCTTAAAAATATTGAGTTTTAACTGACAATTCATTATTAGGAAAGATAAGAGGAAATGATATCTAGTGAGAGGCTATATGACTGAACTCTAAGAGAAAGGTCACAGCAGAAATTGTGTACTTGACAGCTCTATAAGGAGGTCAGTCAAAAATAAGTCAGTGATGAATTCTCTGGTGTAAAAGCAGAGGAATGAGGATTAGATTTAAAACACATGGAAGCAGAGTGACTTATGATAAAAACATGAGCTTGAAAATCCTGCAGAGAGGGCTTTAAATCCTGGGTATGATATTCTGCTTGTGTAGGCAATAGTGATAAAAACACAACAACAAAGAGAGGTAAAGAGCACTTTCCTTTGATATAAGTAAAGGGCACGTCTTATTGCACATATATATATATAGGCATTCAACATGTTTCTCTCACTGAAACAGCAAGCTCTCCAGGCCTTCACGTTCCCAGTGAGGTAGGTAAACTTCTGATGATTATACTCACCCTCCCTCATTTCAAAGCTCCCATTGTTATTGTCTTGGCTCTGGATTCCCTCAAAAATAGACTATGAAACAAATATCTGGGGTCAGGTACTTTAATCAGAAATTGAGTGAGAAAGCACAGAAGTGGAGAAAATGAAACAGAACACGAAGCCAGTGTGAATGAGTAGTTACTGCTATGTGCTCAGTAATGATGGAGGTATGGAGATTGTCTCAAAATAACTTTACAAAGAGATGGGGATGCTGGAATCCCCATCTCTTATTGCTTAAGGATTGCCTTAGAATCATTAACTCTCCACCCCAACTCCTTCTTTGTTCCTATGTGTGGTAGAGAAGCACTGGTTAGCCTCAAGAAGCTTGCAGGCAGGTCCAAAAATCAGAAAGACAGGCATGATGTGGGGAGCTCTCAGTTAGCTGGAAACAGGTGAATTTCAGGTGAACACGTTGAGTCCAGGACATAGAAGACAAGTCATCAGCAATATCTGCTGTAGCCAGTTTTCTTTTTCTTTTTAAGAATATATATACTTTTTATTGGGGGTCCCCAAGTCCCCCTTTGGTTTAATGATTCACATAACTCAAGAAGCTGATTTTTTTTGTGGTTATAGTTTCTAACAGTGAAAGTAACCTGATTAAAATAATCAGAAGCATAAAAGCACATAAAGTTGAATCCAGGACAAACCAGATGTGAGCTTACAGGTGTCCTTTCATAGTGGGGACTTCACACTGACTAATTTTCTTTACAATGGTGTGAGACAACATGTGTGAACTTGTTGCCAACTAGGGAAGCTCAGTCAGTCTTGAGTCCAGGGTTTTTATTAGGATTCCACCACATATGCATCGAGTGTCCTGTGACTGAACTTAGCTACTTAATTCCCAACCTCCCTATGCCCTAAGAGAGGTCATATTAATATGGCATTACACAAAGTCATAGGCATACAGAAACAGGTGCTCACAAGAAATCACGTTGTTAGCATCAGCTATTTGATATGACCTACGTTTTCAGGTATACAAAGACTCTCATCCGGCAGCATATACCAAGGGCTCATAGGTTATCATCTCCCAGGAGCTTGTCAAGGGCCAGTCCTGAAGACCTTTGGAATGTGCAAGGTTTTGGAAAGCCATGTCTGCAGAATTAACCCTTCATTACACAACTTCCAAGAATTTTTTTTATCTTTAAAAATGTTTTTTGATCTTTGACAATGTACCAACCAATACTGAGTAATTAGTAACAACAGTGTACTCCTGAGTACTTGCACCTGCAAGGAGAAAAAGGACAGATGCACTTACATAGGACAGATACAAATAGACACCACTATGACAAGTAAAGCTGGAATAATCAATAAATTCCTAAAGACAAAGTGGGGCTGGTGAGATTGGGAGACCGCTGACAGCTGCAGAAGTTGGGAAAGATCCATCATCTTGAAAACTTTTTCCCCACAAACCCACTGTGATCTCTCAAGCAATTGGTAAGGAATCCAAGAGAGTCTGTATATGATACAGATCAGGGAGAGCAGAACACTTGGGAGGTGACCAGGTCTTGGGGGCCGAGCCCTTGTGAATGGGATTAGTGCCTTTATAAAAGAAGCTCAATGGAGTTCTTGTGTGCCTTCCACTATGTGAGGACATAGAAAGAAGGCACCATCTATGAACCATGAAATGGGCTCTCATCAACACTGAATTTGTGAGCATCTTGACCTGAGATCTTACAGCCTCAAGAAGTGTGAAAAAGAAATATCTGTTGTTTTTTAGTCACCCGGTTTATGTTATTTTGTTATAAGAGTCCGAATAGACCAAGATATTCCACTTAATATGTAGGGGAAGGCAACAAAAACTGCCACACTTAGAATACTCCTGATGCTGGGAGTATGAAAACAGGAAAAACAAAACAAAACTGCTCTTGAAGGTGAAGGAGGAATATCACTGAGCTCACCAACACAGCCAGGAAAAGAACAGAGGTGTGAGAAGGCTACATTCCTGAGACCCTGAGAAAAAGTACCTGCATAAGACTGAGATGAAATTACCTACCCTAGTTATAATTGAAATCCCAAAAAGAATAGAGGAAAAAATAATGGAGCAAAAGAAATATATTTCAAAATAACTGCCAAAAATATTCTAAAAGAAGTGACAGAAAATCAAACTTCAGATATAGGAAACTCAGAGAATGTCAAATAGAACAAAAATAAATAAGAATTCCATCTTGAAAAATCTTTAAAATATCAACTCTAAATTTTATATCTTGCTCCAAATACATAGAGATATAAATAGGTTATCATCAAGATATGGAGAAAGCCATATCATGGAAACACTAAAATAAAGCTGTGGAAGGACTACATTGATATTAGACACAACAGAGTTCGGAACAAGGAATAGTATCAGAGATGAGAGATAATAAATAATATAATAATGAATTCTCAAGATGTAAACATCCTACTAATTAGGGTATGCAGCTAACAACAGAACCTCCAAATACATGAGGTAAAACAGGAAAGAAATCAAAGGTGAACTAGAAAAATCCAAAATTATATTTGCAGACTTCAACACTTTTGTCTTAGTAATGGAAAGACTAGGCACAAACTCAGTAATCATGTGGAAGATAAGAACAATATCATCAACAAGACATCCAATCTTCAATGGCAGATACTCTTTCCTTTCAAGGGAAAAAAAAACAGTATGGCATATTCTCTAACAAACCCAGAATTTCTAATATTTGCGTTCTTCCTTCCTTCTTTCCATCTTCCTTTCTCTTCTCTTCCCTTCCCTTGCCTTCTTCCTTCCTTTCTTCTTTTCCTCTTTCTTTTCTTTTCTCTTTTCCTTTCTTTCTTTTCTTTTTTCTCTTTCCTTCTTTCTTTCTCCTTATTCTTCCTTCCCTCCTCCCTCCCTTCCTTTATCCCTCCCTTCCTTTCTCCCTCCCTTCTTTTCTCTTATTCTTTCTTTCTCACTTTCTTGCTTTCTTTCTTTTTTCTCCCTTCCTCTTTCCTTTTCTTCCTTCCTCCCTCAGTTCCTTTCCTCCTTTTTCCTTTCTTCCTTCCTTACTTCCTTCCTTTTCCTCTTTATTTTCTTTATTTCTTTGCCTTCCTCCCTTTTACCATTCTCTCTTCCTCATTTCCTTCCTCTCTTCCTCCTTTCTTTCTCTCTCTTTTTTCTTTCTTTCTTTCTTTCTGTCTTTCTTTCTTGTGTTCTTGCTTTCTTTTTTCTCCCTTCTTGCCTTCCTCCCTCCCTCCCTTCCTTTCTTCTCTCATTTCCTCCTTTTCTTTCTTTCTTTCCTTCCTTCCTTCCTTCCTTCCTTCCTTCCTTCCTTCCTTCCTTCTTTCCTTCTTTCCTTGCTTTTCTTTCTTTCTTTCCTTTACTACAATTCTTATTATTTTAAGAAAATTAAGAGAGGGAGGCAGAAAAATAAAGAACACTTTAATCTGCAGGTAAATAGATTATGTCTGCTGTAGAAAAAAGAATGGCCTCCCAAAAATGTTCATGTCCTAATTCCCAGAGTCTAACACACAAATATGTTAGGTTGTGTGGCAGTGGGAAATTAGATTTCAAGTGAAATTAAGGTTGCAATAAAATGATGGAGAGATTTTCTTAAATGGTTGGGATCAATGAAATCACAAGCTTCCTTATAAGTGAAAGAAGAAGGCAGAAGAAAGGCAACCATGTAGGTGGTGGCATGAGAAATTACTCAACATCACTGACTTTTAAGATACAAGAATGAGGACCCAGCGCGGTGGCTCACGCCTAATCCCAGCACTTTGGGAGGCTGTGGTGGGTGGATCACGAGGTCAGGAGAGCGACACCATCCTGGCTAACATGGTGAAACCCCATCCCTCCTAAAAATACAAAAAAATAACTGGGCATGGTGGCACGTGCCTGTAGTCTAAGCTACTCAGGAAGCTGAGGCAGAAGAATCACTTGAACACGGGAAGCAGAGGTTGCAGTGAGCTGAGATCATGCCACTGCACTCCAGCCTGGGCGACAGAAGGAGACTCCATCTCAAGAAAAAAAAAAAGATATAAGAATGAGGTCATGTTCCAAAGAATAAAGGTGGCCTCTGGATGCTGAAAAAAATCAAGTACATAGATGTTGCCACAGAGCCCTCAGAAAGATTGCAGCCCTGCCCAAATCTTGATGTTAGCCCTGTGAGTCTCATTTAAGGCTTCTGAGCTCCAGTACTGTAGGATTACCAGTCACTTTATTGTAAGATATGAAGTTTGTGGTAATTGGTTACAGCAGCAAGAGGAAGTTTATATAGTAATTGTATCACGAAAATGAGAACCATAATTTACAACTGCTTTTAATACTGCACTTGGATGTTTGAAATCACATACATGGAAATGATCACTAGGTGTATGAGGGAGGATAGCAAATTGATGCCAAAATAACGCAAATGCAAATCTTACACTCATTTCTATGTAGGTTTCATTTAATGTTTGAAATTAAAATGAAATTAAAGGATTATGATATTTTGATGAAATTAGACTAACATGAACAATAACAAAATAAGCACTTATTTATATTCTTTATATGGTCAATAAAGAAGTGATAGTGGAAAAAAACAAGGTCAAATGAAGGTGATGATTTAGGAAGTTGGAAAGATAGCTGAAACTACAAAATGGTATATAACTAGTGAACACTTAGACACACTGATTGATGAACTTCAGCTTTTGGCTTGGTGAGAGCATAAAATGAGAGCAGCTGAGGTTTGCGAATTTGTAATCTCCTTGTGGAAAAAGAGGGGAAAACACATCTCAGTCTAACAAGATTTATCTACTAAAGAGTCAAGACTTCATCCATTTGTCCTTATAATTCAAAAGCTAATTCAAACACTGATTTGATGTATTGTGTGAACAACCATTGCTGATTATCATCGCATACCTGGCATTCTCTTTTATCTGATATCTAAAATACTTGATAATTCTTGGACTTTCTCTTTTCAAACCCAGTATGGTTTAGTTTCAATCTTAGAACAGTTGTCTTTAAGAAATTCTTCACTCTACTGCATCTGTGAATGGGCATAGCATGGTTACATACATACTGTCACCCCAGAGAACATTTGTTAAATTAAAGCCAAAGTTTAAAGCAACAGCTTTAACTCACTGGTTTTACTGATGTTTTCCTCCCCAATAGCCACAACAATATTGATACCCTCACACCTTTTCACATAAAGCTTGGTGTTGTCTATTTTTCAGGTGCTGTTATCTATATGATCTCAGTATTTTAAAAACCAGCTTCCAGCCGATATGGTGGCTCATGCTTGTAATACCAGCAGTTGAAGCTGAAATGAGCGGATTCTTTGAGCCCAGGAGTTCAAAAGCAACCTGGGCAACATAGCAAGACCCAGTCTCTAACAAAAGTTAAAAAAAAAAGGTGGGCATGGTGATGTGCACCTTTTGTCCTAGCTATTTGGGAGGCCAAGGTGGAAGGATTGCTTGAGCTTGGGAGGCTGAGGCTGCAGTGAGCAGTGATTGCACCACTGCACTCCAGCCTGGGCAACAAAGCAAGACCCTATCTCAAAAAATATATATAATAAAAATAAAAATCAGCTCTCATTGATTTCTACATAAATATGCACCGGTGATGTCCATATAGGCATAAATAATAATATATCTGACAATGGATCCATGTGATCTTCAAAATGTAAAATGCCTATCTGTGAAATTGACTGGTTAGTCTCATTAATGAATATAGACTCAATTCTACTTTCTTGTTCTAGATAAATTACATAATCTAGCTTTTCATTTCACTTATGTACTGATAACAACAAGAAGAATGACAAGATATCTGTTTTGGAAAATTACTTTCGTAGGAGTAAAGGTGAAACAATGATAGAATTGCATGGAAAACTAGAAAAAATATGGTCTTCTGATATTCTATTACATCATATACTAAAGGCCTCATAAAACTCAGATATTTTATCTAAAAATGTTATTTTCATCTTAGGAATGATCAAAGCATGAGACTAGAATTGTATTACAATGACTCTCACAAGCACATGTGCTAAAAAGGAGGGGAAAACATCATTACTGATATTTTAAACGTATGTTTTACTTTCCATCAACAGAAACCCTATTAAGCATTAAGCTTTATGGAGCAAAGACAAATCCAGTGGTGAAAGATACACACTCGAGTTCTGTTTGTTGTCTTGGAACAATACAGTTTAGAGGTGACTGGTGGATGAAGAGAACATATGCGAGTTCACCAAAGAGAAAAGCTGAATGAGGCAATGCCTCTTCCTGACCATACATCTTACTCAGATAACTATATAATTTATTGTCCAGTAAAGGGTATATTTAAAAATCATATTAAAAGTCATGCAATGAAGATGTCCAGGGAAATCAAGACTTAACAGTCTCACTCTGACAATAATGAATAGGGGGGTTCCCTCAAGATAGACTAGGACATGACCTCACACTGGCAGGTAGTAGTACCAGAAAAGAACCCATGGAAAATCTTTACCTTATGCTTGAGGTAGGGACCAGGCTAAAGTGAAAGCCCGACATAGAATTCTATCTAAAATATATCCACAATCGAAGAAAATATGTGGTGTACAGGCATAGAATGTCTTTACTGGATCATTCAAATAGTAAGATAATTCAGATTTTTACATTGTTTTCATTTCCTCCAGTTAGGGCTTGAGGTTTGTCTCTGGAGAGTGACTGTCAATTGGAGCCCTGCCTTTCTCAGGTTCTGGTCAGGAGGTTGTGGAAGCTTAACATGTGCCTTTCACAGGACACTTCCTTACCCCAGCAGTGGCCAGGTGTGCATCCCACGACCAGGCCTCCGTCTCACAGAACATCTGTAGAGACTAGGAGATGCCTGGTGGCTGTTGCCTGACCTGTGTCCTGTGTATTTCTGACAAGAGCCACTCTTAGAGACCCTGACCAGGAGGAGAGTTAGGTTCCAGTGTAGGTCAGCTCAGGCACATGGAGGCCACAGGACCAAACATGGGAAATCACAGAAGTAGTTTTATTACTCACAGACCCAGAGAGAAGAGGGTAGCTGAGAAGAGGGTTTAGCTGTGTCCCCAGCCAAATCTCATCTTGAATTCCCACATGTTGTGGGAGGGAACAGGTGGGAGGAAATTGAATCATGGGGGCAGGACTTTCCCATGTTGTTCTTCTGAGAGTGAATAAGTCTCACAAGATCTGATGGTTTTATAAAGGGGAGTTTCCCCTGCACAAGCTCTCTTGTCTTGTCTGCTGCCACATGAGACGTGCCTTTCACCTTCCACCATGATTGTGAGGCCTATGCAGCCATGTGGAACTGTGCATCTATTGAACTTCTTTCTTCTGGAAATTACCCAGTCTTGGGCATGTCTTTACCGGCAGTGTGAAAATGGACTAATACAGTAGCACACCTCATAGGGCTGAACAAAATGGAGAAGATGAGTGGGGAGCAAGAGAGATAAAAGGGGTCTGTGGGACTCTAGCCTTTATTCGGCCCAGAACATTACCCAAATAAATTTTCCACGGGGCTCTGGTCAGTGGGGTGAGTGCCAGCAGGCACATTTTTTGGCTGCAGCTGCAACTGAGCAGGTCACTCTGGCGTGTGGGGGCTGTCCATGTGGGCTGTGAGGTCTGTGGGGTGAGTCAGGTAGGTTGTATCCAACGGTTCCACAGCGGCTAGTCACCAGGAGGAGGCAGCTGTGTAGGGTCAATATCTGGGCCAGCCACACTGAGGAACTGTGAGGGTTAGAACTGGAAATTGTCAAGGGAATCTGAACCCAGCTACCATATGAGAGAGTTCAACTTATGTTCAATGTGAATGCCATGGCAATATTAAAAGGTAAGAATTCGCTCCATACGTGCTTGAGGTAAATAGGAGAAACCTAGAATTTATGTAAACAGTGAGAAGATTGGATGCGTTTTCCGTCATATAATTTAATACTAGCAGCATATTATATATGTCAATCCATCAGGCATTCAGAAGTACATGCTTATGAAAGTTTTTTGCACCATCAGACAAAAGACAGAGGTAGAAGACATTTTTAACCCTATAAACACTAGTAAATTAAAAACAGAAGAGCCTTTATGTCCTAATATATCTATGTTGTGAAAGGCTGCCCTGTGAAATACGGGATATCTGAAACATATTTTAAAAATCATAGGTGTCAATATTTTTTAGAAATTCATTTAAATTTTCTCTTGCTATTTTAGAATGCCTATTTATTTATTTAGTGGTTCTGCTGATTTTGATGTGTATCCTAAACCTTACACTTTCTTTAAAGTATGTTTTATAAAACTTTATGTAAAATGTTTCAGTATCTTCACATTCTCTCCCTGTCCTTTTATTTTGCTCTTATATGGTGGCCTTGAGTCTTTTCTCTGGCTTTTCAAACCTAGTAAGACTAAGACACCAAAGTAACTTTGCCCGTGGTTTGGTAATGCCTTCTAAAGCACATCCTAAACTCTCGTGCATACAGGGGTCTCCTTTGAGCTCTATGCTTTTGAGATCACATATACCTAAATTCCAGTACTCCAAATCATTACTGCTCAGTTTTAGTTGCTAAGTTTAAAAATGTATTTTAATAGCAAGTTAGTTTAGTGCATTCTTGCTTCTTTCTTTACTGCTGGTATACATGTATATTCCTTTAAATAAATCTTGGAATTTATTTAAAAATTTTAAATTATACTAATGAAACTGTATATTGTTGTGGATTCGTAGGTGAATTTGGAAAGAATTTGTCTTTATGATACTAAATCCTTTTTATCCAAGAATCATACGTGTTTTTATATTTATTCCACTCTATATTTATATCACTGAGTAAATATATAGAAATGTAGATACATACAGCTGTAGTTATAGATAGATACAAGTATAGATATAACATGTTAAATCTATATCTATCCCATATAACATATATGCATGTTATATGTGTGTGTATATATATATGTTTGTGTTAAAGAGCTCCCTTAAAATTTTTTTATTTCCTATATAATTTTAGGTTGAGCTTGAATTTTCCTTGTATAAACAAGCAAATATTTACACTAGTTTTAATACTGATGTTTAGACATTCTATCTTATTTTAGCATTGAATATTTTCACAATTATTATAAATATTATCTAATTAATAATGTAACTGTTAAAAGTATTTAAAATTGTACCTTTGAATTATTTTATTGTTGAATTTAAATTCCTTTAAGTATGATAGTAAATTACTATTTTATGCTTTCTCTATGCATATGCAAATTAATCTATCCACTTCTCTACCTCTATGTAGTAACATATGAAAATCAGGCCTCTGTTCTTCTAATGGACATACACATGTTTGCATATAGAATATCAGACTCTTTATAGTATTTAAAATCATTAAAGACGTGAATATGACCTTTTAACAAATATGTTTTAGCGTGTACTGAGAATCCCCTATTTTTTATTTGGGCTAATCAATATGATTATTAATATTATTGGATTACCAAATTTGGAATCACACTTTCATCCCCAAGGTGGATATTTGTTTTATTTTTTTGCCAATTTCTTGTCTTACTGTTTCAAATATTGTTGGATATTATTTTTTATTTGGCATTTTAGTATCAATATTTGTAAGTGATGTACTTTACATATTTTTTCTTCAGTATCTGGTGGGTTTTATAATTACTGCTATATTGTATTTGTAGTAGACATTGAGAAAAATTATTCCTGCATGTTTTATAGCTGTATGAAGGAAATTAATATATTTTATCCCAAAATATATTTCCTTGATATATTTCAAAATGGCTATTCAGAAGGGCTGGAAATGCAAACATAGCTGCAAAGCTGTCTTGGGGAGATTTGCATCGGTAGAGAATCTGCCTTGATGCAGCCAGGCTTTCTCTGAGATCTGCTCCCTTGTCTGGATCTAGGAAAGTTTAACTGAGCGTCTGAGGTCTCCAAAGGTCTGAAAGAAACATTTTCTGTCTATTCTCTCTGAGGACTGCTCCCAGTGAGGTTTCACCTACGTAATAAGTCCACTGTTGCTAGCCAGGGTCGTTTTCTCACATAACTTTTTTTTTTTTTCCCTGTGATCCAAGACCCCATTCTTTCTGTAAACTTCATGTGGTAGATAAGCTTCTGCTGGGTCTGGGTCTTCATTCTAAGGGCTCCAGTGTACGCACATTGCAGAAACCTGTATGCCTTTTCTACTATTTATCTGACTCCTATTAGTGATTTTCAGGGAAACTTCAGAAGGCAAAAGGGACATTCTCCTTTAGCCCATACTCAGACAAATTCCCCCAACATTTAATTGGTTCCTAATAGCTTAAAATCACTTTGAAAACTCCATATATTTATAACCTTTTCTTCCCTCTATGATTTCTGTACAGCTTGGGTTTTGTTTTTTATTCCATTTACTTCATCCTCAAAAAGATCTATTTTATGTCTATTTATTCTCATTTATGGACATTGAGAAAAGAAAATAACTTTCATGTGAGAAATGCAAGTCCTTTTAAATAATCAGGCCCAGAGAGATATTCAAATGAGACAGCAGTTCTGTCCTGCTCCTCTTTGAGCATCTAGGCTGCTTGCTGTTGCCACAGTAGCTATAAATTAACAAATAATGTCACACCAGACACTATAATCCACACCCAATAATGGTGTAACAGTGTATAGCCAGTCACTAATAAATGTTATTTCCATAAGCCAATGAGAATTTATGACAAACCTCTTTGCATCATCCCACTTCTGGACCCTTTTTTGCCTTTAAGAAACTGCTTGTTGCAAAGCTCCAAATGGAGTTCATATCCAAGGAAACTTGGGTCTGTTTCTTCCAGGTAGCTGTCCTCATTTTGGATCAAGTAAACTCTTTGAATTACGTTTTGTGCTTCAGCCCCTTCCACTTACATTAACAACATGGATTTGTGTCACCATGTACAACAATTAAAATGTTTACCCTTTTCCCCTCGAGGGCATTGATGTGTTTTCCTGAGCACTTGGAATAGCTGCATAGTGTTTACTTTCTAGATTATGGTTTCTCAACCTTGGTGCTACTTATCTTTAGGACTAGAGGATTCTTTGTTGTAGGAGGCTGCCCTAGCAATGCTAGGTGTTTCGTTTGACCTCTAAATTTCACACTTCCACCAGTCTTGACATCCCCACAATAACCCTAGACATTGACAATTGTCTCCTGGGGAAAACTCTCCACCAGTTGACAGCCAAAATTCTTGAAATATTGGAATAGTCAATTGAGTTTTTATGTTATCCAAAACAAATATTTTTCTTTGTTTTTAAACATCTACTTCCATCTACTTATCTACTTATTTTTACTTTTATTTGTAACTTAATTCCATCAAGGAGAGAGAGTGTATTTTCTGTTATGCTAAATTTTTGAAGAATGTATTGATTTTTTATGACCGGATATATGGATGATATGTAGATATTACATGTTTGTATTATCAAATTTCAGGGCGATAATAAAATAAATACTTATAGTATTTATATTGTCACTGTATATTAGTTATTTTCTTTCTTCGCTACAGGAGTTTTTCAACCTATAGGCTATTTTTCCATTCTAGGTTATCCAGTAGATTTTGAAATGTTATGATTAAATATCTACTTCTCAAGCATTCATCTTTGCAAAGGAATCAATCCCAAGCTCTTACAATGCACATCACATAAAGGGCACATTAGTCAATATATGGTTCAGAAATAATTATGTAATATTTATAAGAAAATTAAAAATTTAGATCCTTAACTCAGATAACAATAATCCAAATTAAAATTTGATTTCATTACATAATTTAAAATGACACCAGAATACTAGTAAAAATGTAGATAAGTTTATATAACCCTTTTTAGCTGTAGAACCTTATTAGCATAAATTCAAATACAGGAACCAAAGTAAGATTGAGACCTATAGTCAAAGGTTAAAATATACACATTATAGGGGCATGATTAAACTAATTTAAAACATAATAACATGGAGAAATATTGCAAAACATACATTTTACTGAATTAATTGTTAATCTCTAATCATTACCTGAGAACTAATGTAAAGAGTAGCTGTACGCACACCCACACACAAGTGCAATATTGTCAAATAAACGTGATGTTCAGCTACACTAGCAATCACACCTATGTTTTCTCCACAGAAGAGTAAAGATTAAAAATTACAATAATATTTATTGTACATATGGAGATAAAGATACTCAAAATATTACCCTAAAATACATTTTTTTTTTTTGAGATGGAGTTTTGCTTTTATTGCCCAGGCTGGAGTGCAATGGCACAATCTTGGCTCACTGCAACCTCAGCCTCCCAAGGTCAAGTTATTCTCCTAGCTCAGCCTCCCAAGTAGCTGAGATTACAGGCATGCACCACCACACTCGACTAATTTTTTGTATTTAGTAGAGACGGGGTTTCACCATGTTGGTCAGGCTGGTCTTGAACTCCTGACTTCAGGTGATCTACCCACTTCAGCCTCCCAAAGTGCTGGGATTACAGGCGTGCGCCTGGCCAACTTTTTGATGTATTTCAAGATGGCTACTCGGAAGACTGGAAATAGCTTCTTCTACAAGAATAGCTGAAAAGCTGTGTTTGTTGGGGAGATTTGCATTTGTAGAGAAAATCTGCATTGATATAGACAGGCTTTCCCTGAGATACTCCCTTGTCTGGGTTTAGGAAAGATTAACTGAGTCTGGCACGTTTACATTTCTAAAAACCATTTCCTATCTTTACTTCCCAAGAGGAGGGCTGCTCCCTGTGAGGTTTCATCCATGTAACAAGACCACCTCTGCTGCCAGGCTCCTCTTTCTTCCTTGTCATCACCTGCCTTCTGCAAAGCCTGATTTACCAAAGTACAGCTCTGTGTTTTCTGTAATCTCAAGACAACATAGGCGTGTTGACTACCTTGCCTTTCCTGGAGTTTTTATACATATATAGTATATATTTGTATATTGATTTATAATATAAAAATATTTGTATATATATATTTATGTATATTATGTAAACTCCAAGTGCGTACTTGTGCACATAATTATATTTGTAAACATTTTTTCCTGTTAGTTTGTACATTATCAATTTGTTTGATAGACTCAAATAATTAAAGCTTCAAGGGAAAAATTTAAACTTTCCTATAGAGAAAAGACAAATATATAGGTGACAAATAATATTTAGAGTGTAAGATGCTTTTTAAACGTATATTTGTAATTTGTGTCAAAACATTTAAATATACATTTGTTACTTTAACTATAAAATTTCAAATAATTTAACTAAATACATAGTATATGCAGAAAATTTAGCAATATTTCTATGTAACACCTTACTGTGCATTACTGTAACCAGCTGTCTAATATAAAGAACTAATTAAGGTAGCACCTACTTTTCAAATATCGCATTTTTTCACAGACCTATTAAATAAGACAAATAACATTTAAACTTTATTTTTAAATTTGCAGAATAGTATTTTTCAGCAGATGGTTTATTTTAGCAAATTCCATCTTCACATTGTGCTATGCTTTTATGAGTTCCAGCTGTTAACGGATAATATTTTACTGCTGAATCTATCATGTGTGATATAATTGCTCATTATGTACCTTAAAACACAAGCAATATAGTTATTTTCAACTTGGAGCAAATTAAAATCTTATCAGCAATTTTAAAAATCTAGAGTCGTCTTCTTCTGGTTAATTATTTTAAACTTGTATTTTTCTCTTTATGTTTTTAGTGAGTTGTCTTATCAAGGAGAACTCAAGCTGATTATTCTTTTGTTTTCTCTTCCATCCACCTCGCTGGTGTGTGAATAATTTCATTTCTCAAAAAATGTTCTTTCATATCCATCTTACAAGATGAGAGACCTTTTAACATCTTCCATTCAGATGTGATATCAGTAATGGAAAATATTCCAGCTTCATGAATATGGTGATACAAATAGCTATCCGTCTAACCTCTGTCAGTGCCAAATGTTTACTTTACTAAGTGAATTACTCAGCTGACTGGCAATTTCTTCTGAAATCACTAATGAGAAGATCAGAGGTCTGGCTGTTGTTTGTACCTCATATGACTCCCAGTGCAGACAATTGTTTCTATGGAGCACAGACAGTTGAATGGATTGACTTCCTGCCTAGAATAGTTTCTGCTGTGCTTCTTATCCTTCTTGTGGAGATTTCAGATTATCTGAATTGCTTTTCTGTCTTAAGAAAATACTCAACAATTCTCCCACCTGAGAGGAATGTAAACTGTAGTAAGTTAGCAGAACCAATCCGTAAAGTTTTTACATTGTTTGTTGTAAAATGCAGCGTTGGTGTCTCCATCACTAACCTTTTCTATCCCTCATTGCTCTTTCTTTGACTGCAATAGGATACCTCTAGGCAAATCTGTATTCCTGAGACAGAGTGCCCTTTCCGTTAGCTATAAGTACACTTCAATGGTAGGCTGAAATACTAGTTTTTATCTATGGCGAAATGGAATCATATCAGTGATTTTCTTTAAAAGGAAATTTAACTCTTGCTATGGTTTGAATGCTTGCCCCTTCCAAATCTCATGCTACACTGCTGCATATTGTCTCACGTAACAGTGAGTTTCTGGCTTTCTTATTTTAGTTTACCCTTTGTCCTTTAGTTTGTAAAGCTTCTATTTTTTTCCATAAATTTTCTGATGTTAGGGAAAAATCCATGACTTATTCTATCTCATGGAATTTTTATTTCAAATATTTATTTTTCATCTATACATGTCACATTTTTCTTTTTATAACTTCTATTTTTCTCCTATGATCAATTTTCAATTAACTACTTTGACATATATATGTATTTATCTATATGTATTTATAAAATATATTTACTTTAAGGACCTTGAAAATTCCTTCTTCTCTGTCATTTACAAATGACTTATTTTTATCCTGTTAATATATATCTTAATAATATATATCTTCCGGCTTCTTTGCATGTCAGAGTTTTTTTTTGGGTATTTTGATATTATGCTATTGAATATCTAGAATTTATTGGCTACCTTTGAACAATTTTGGGGCAGGCAGTTCAGTAACTTCAGGATGAGTATTTTTCTGTTTTTGTTTTAAATCTTCTCTTTAAACTTTGTTGAGTTAGTCTAGAGCCATCTGTCATTTGGAGCTAAATGAGCACTGTCACTGGGGCATGAACCTCCAGTGGTCTTTACTGAATATCCTGGAGGTACAGAGGGGATTCCCTTCTCTGGCTGGTCAGAGCTAACATGTCTTCCTGTTATGTGATGCCAGGGAAGTATTCTTCTTCCAACTCCCTGGTAGAGTCCTTTGCTGAGCTCCTTAGAATTTCATCCTATGTACATTTGACTTAGGGACTTGGGAGAAACCTTAGGCTGATTATTGGTTCCTTTTTCTGTAAACGTTCTCTTCTACTACACATTCCAGCTGCTTAACTTTTTTGATTTTTATCTGGTTCCTCAGTGCAATGACAATATCTCTCTCCCTGGGATTCCTCTCTACTGCTGTCACGGAGAACCTGGGAATAAAGCAGGACTCATTCTGGCTCCTTCTCTTCTCTTGCGGAGCACAGTACTGTGCTGCCTGATGTTCAGTACTTCAAAAAAAGTTTCATATATTTTGTCCAGTTTCCTATTCTTTAACTCTAAAAGAGTAACTCCAGTCCCAGTTACAGCATCATGTTCTGTAACTCTACTCCTTGTTGCTCCATTCTGCCATTGTCTGGTATGATTGCCCCTTTCCCTTCTGTAATCAGGCCAAGAGCATAATATAATACTAGTTATAACTGCACAGCTTGCCTCCGTTGTGTAAAAAAATCACTGAGACTTAACTGTGTCCAACTTTTAAAATGTGAATAGAAGTACAACTAAAGCTATATTTTGGTTAATATTTGCATTGCATGCTTTTCCATTATTTAGTTTCAACATATGTGAAATATAAATATAAATTATAAAAACTTTAAGAGAGTCTATTTAAAAATCTGGTCTGATTGTGTTTTAACTGGTTTATTACAAAGTGCATTCTTGAATTCAGGGGCTAATATAATTGGTACGTTTGTCTATTTGCAAAAAAACTTGACAATATTTTAAAATTAAATTATCCAACTCACAACTTACATGCTTCTGCTGTTGTATGGAAGATACATTTTAAACTTTATGAGATAGCATTCTGTTATACCGTCGATATCCAATTAAATTTCTCTCTATGTTTATTTCTTTCATTAAAAAAAAAGCGTTCTTCTAACTGCAAACTTTCATCAGGGATCATGGCTCTTCTACCTGAAGAATAATCTTTACTATTTCCTTTCCTGTGGGTCTGCTTGGGATAAATTCTTTATTGTATCTTTGCTTTTGATGGATATGTCCACCAAGTAGACACTTCTAGGACGGCACTTATTTTATTTCAGGACTTGAAAGGTATCAATACCTCACTTGTTGGCTTTCATTGTTTCATTTGACAAGGTTGTTATCAGTCAACTCTTTCTCTTTATAGTTAGCCCAATTTTTTTATCAAGTGCTCTTTACATTTTTATTTTACTTTTCAGAAATTGTCCCATTATGTTTCTAGGTGTGTCCTCTGTGTGTGTTTTCGTTTGGTTTGCAAAGCCTCCTGAACCTGTGATTTAATATTATTGGTCAATTTTGATAAAACCTCTAACATTGCCACTTAAAATGCTGTTCAGACCAGCTGTTTTCTTCTTCTTAGATTTCAACGTGTTAGATTATTACTGTATGTTTTATATTTTTTAAATGAGCTTTCTCTACTTTTTTTTTAGTTGGTTAATCTGTATTAGTGTATATTTTGCTTTTTTATTTTATTTTATTTTATTATTATACTTTAAGTTTTAGGATACATGAGCACAATGTGCAGGTTTGTAACATAAGTATTCATGTGCCATGTTGGTGTGCTGCACCCATTAACTCGTCATTTAGCATTAGGAATATGTCCTAATGTTATCCCTCCCCCTCCCCCAACCCCACAACAGTCCCCGAAGTGTGATGTTCCCCTTCCTGTCTCCATGTGTTCTCATTGTTCAATTCCCACCTATGAGTGAGAATATGCGGTGTTTGCTTTTTTGTCCTTGTGATAGTTTAGTGAAAATGATGATTTCCAGTTTCATCCATGTCCCTACAAAGGACAGGAACTCATCATTTTTTATGGCTGCATAGTATTCCATGGTGTATATGTGCCACATTTTCTTAATCCAGTCTATTGTTGTTGGACATTTAGGTTGGTTCCAAGTCTTTGCTATTGTGAATACTGCCGCAATAAATATACATGTGCATGTGTCTTTATAGCAGCATGATTTATAATCCTTTGGGTATATACCCAGTAATGGGATGGCTGGGTCAAATGATATTTCTAGTTCTAGATCCCTGAGGAATCACCACACTGACTTTCACAATGGTTGAACTAGTTTACAGTCCCACCAACAGTGTAAAACTGTTCCTATTTCTCCACATCCTCTCCAGCACCTGTTATTTCTTGACTTTTTAATGATTGCCATTCTAACTGGTGTGAGATGGTATCTCCTTGTGGTTTTGATTTGCATTTCTCTGATGGCCAGTGATGAGCATTTTTTTCATGTGTTTTTTGGCTGCATAAATGTCTTCTTTTGATAAGTGTCTGTTCATGTCCTTCGCCCACTTTTTGATGGGATTGTTTGTTTTTTTCTTGTAAATTTGTTTGAGTTCATTGTAGATTCCGGATATTAGCCCTTTGTCAGATGAGTAGGTTGTGAAAATTTTCTCCCATTTTGTGGGTTGCCTGTTCACTCTGATGGTAGTTTCTTTTGCTGTGCAGAAGCTCTTTAGTTTAATTAGATCCCATTTGTCAATTTTGTCTTTTGTTGCCATTGCTTTTGGTGTTTCAGACATGAAGTCCTTTCCCACGCCTATGTCCTGAATGGTATTGCCTAGGTTTTCTTCTGGGGTTTTTATGGTTTTAGGTCTAATATGTAAGTTTTTCATCCATCTTGAATTAATTTTTGTATAAGGTGTAAGGAAGGGATCCAGTTTCAGCTTTCTACATATGGCTAGCCAGTTTTCCCAGCACCATTTATTTAATAGGGAATCTTTCCCCATTGCTTGTTTTTGCAGGTTTGTCAAAGATCAGATAGTTGTAGTTATGTGGCATTATTTCTGAGGGCTCTGTTCTGTTCCATTGATCTATGTCTCCATTTTGGTACCAGTACCATGTTGTTTTGGTTACTGTAGCTTTGTGGTATAGTTTGAAGTCAGGTAGCGTGATGCCTCCAGCTTTGTTCTTTTGGCTTAGGATTGACTTGGTGATGCGGACTGTTTTTTGGTTCCATATGAACTTTAAAGTTGTTTTTTCCAATTCTGTGAAGAAAGACATTGGTAGCTTGATGGGGATGGCATTGAATCTATAAATTATCTTGGGCAGTATGGCCATTTTCATGATATTGATTCTTCCAACCTATGAACATGGAATGTTCTTCCATTTGTTTGTATCCTCTTTTATTTCATTGAGCAGTGGTTTGTAGTTCTCCATGAAGAGGAATTTCATGTCCCTTGTAAGTTGGATTCCTAGGTATTTTACTCTATTTGAAGCAATTGTGAATGGGAGTTCACTCATGATTTGGCACTCTGTTTGTTATTGGTGTATAAGAATGCTTGTGATGTTTGTAAATTGATTTTGTATCCTGAGACTTTGCTGAAGTTGCTTAACAGCTTAAGGATTTTGGGCTGAGACAATGGGGTTTTCTAGATACACAATCAAGTCATCTGCAAACAGGGACAATTTGACTTCCTCTTTTCCTAATTGAATACCCTTTGTTTCCTTCTCCTGCCTGATTGCCCTGGCCAGAACTTCCAACACTATGTGGAATAGGAGTGGTGAGAGAGGGCAACCCTGTCTTGTGCCAGTTTTCAAAGGGAATGCTTCCAGTTTTTGCCCATTCGGTATGATATTGGCTGTGGGTTTGTCATAGATAGCTCTTATTATTTTGAATTATGTCCCATCAATACCTAATTTATTGAGAGTTTTTAGCATGAAGGGTTGTTGAATTTTGTCAAAGGCCTTTTCTGCATCTATTGAGATAATCATGTGGTTTTTGTCTTTGGTTCTGTTTATATGCTGGATTACATTTATTGATTTGCGTATGTTGAACCAGCCTTGCATGCCAGGGATGAAGCCCACTTGATCATGGTGGATAAGTTTTTGATGTGCTGCTGGATTCGGTTTGCCAGTATTTTATTGAGGATTTTTGCATCAATGTTCATGAAGGATATTGGTCTAAAATTCTCTTTTTTTGTTTTGTCTCTGCGAGGCTTTGGTATCAGGATGATGCTGGCCTCATAAAATGAGTTAGGGAGGACTCCCTCTTTTTCTATTGATTGGAATCGTTTCAGAAGGAATGGTACCAGTTCCTCCTTTTACCTCTGGTAGAATTCGGCTGTGAATCCATCTGGTCCTGGAATCTTTTTGGTTGGTAAGCTTTTGATTATTGCCACAATTTCAGATCCTGTTATTAGTTTATTCAGAGATTCAACTTCTTCCTGGTTTAGTCTTGGGAGAGTGTATGTGTCGAGGAATTTATCCATTTCTTCCAGATTTTCTAGTTTATTTGCGTAGAGGTGTTTGTAGTATTCTCTGATCGTAGTTTGTATTTCTGTGGGATCGGTGGTGATATCCCCTTTATCATTTTTATTGCGTCTATTTGATTCTTCTCTCTTTTTTTCTTTAGTAGTCTTGCTAGCGGTCTATCAATTTTGTTGATCCTTTCAAAATACCAGCTCCTGGATTCATTAATTTTTTGAAGGGTTTTTTGTGTCTCTATTTCCTTCAGTTCTGCTCTGATTTTAGTTATTTCTTGCCTTCTGCTAGCTTTTGAATGTGTTTGCTCTTGCTTTTCTAGTTCTTTTAATTGTGATGTTAGGGTGTCAATTTTGGATCTTTCCTGCTTTCTCTTGTGGGCATTTAGTGCTATAAATTTCCCTCTAAACGCTGCTTTGAGTGTGTCCCAGAGATTCTGGTATGTTGTGTCTTTGTTCTCATTGGTTTCAAAGAACATCTTTATTTCCTGCCTTCATTTCGTTATGTACCCAGTAGTCATTCAGGAGCAGGTTGTTCAGTTTCCATGTAGTTGAGCGGTCTTGAGTGAGTTTCTTAATCCTGAGTTCTAGTTTGATTGCACTGTGGTCTGAGAGACAGTTTGTTATGATTTCTTTTCTTTTACATTTGCTGAGGAGAGCTTTACTTCCAACTATGTGGTCAATTTTGGAATAGGTGTGGTGTGGTGCTGAGAAGAATGTATATTCTGTTGATTTGGGGTGGAGAGTTCTGTAGATTTCTATTAGATCCACTTGGTGCAGAGCTGAGTTCAATTCCTGTGTACCCTTGTTAACTTTCTGTTTCATTTTTCTGTCTAATGTTGACAGTGCATTGTTAAAATCTCTCATTATTATTGTGTGGGAGTCTAAGTTTTTTTGTAGGTCACTCTGGACTTGCTTTATGAATCTGGGTGCTCCTATATTGGGTGCATATATATTTAGGATAGTTAGCTCTTCTTGTTGAATTGGTCCCTTTACCATTATGTAGTGGCCTTCTTTATCTCTTTTGATCTTTGTTGGTTTAAAGTCTGTTTTATCAGAGACTAGGATTGCAACCCCTGCCTTTTTTTGTTTTCCATTTGCTTGGTAGATCTTCCTCCATCCTTTTATTTTGAGCCTATTTGTGTCTCTGCATGTGAGATGGGTTCCTGAATACAGCACATTGTTAGATCACGACTCTTTATGCAATTTGCCAGTCTGTGTCTTTTAATTGGAGAATTTAGTCCATTTACACTTAAAGTTAATATTGTTATGTGTGAAATTGATCCTGTCATTATGATACTAGCTGATTATTTTGCTAGTTAGTTGATGCAGTTTCTTCGTAGTCTCGATGTTCTTTACATTTTGGCATGATTTTGCAGTGGCTGGTACTGGTTGTTCCTTTCCATCTTTAGTGCTTCCTTCAGGAGCTCTTTTAGGGCAGGCCTGGTGGTGACAAAATCTCTCAGCATTTGCTTGTCTGTAAAGTATTTTATTTCTCCTTCACTTATGAAGCTTAGTTTGGCTGGATATGAAATTCTGGGTTGAAAATTCTTTTCTTTAAGAATGTTGAATATTGGCCCCCACTCTATTCTGGCTTCTAGAGTTTCTGCCAAGAGATCTGCTGTTGGTCTGATGGGCTTCCCTTTGTGGGTAACCCGACCTTTCTCTCTGGCTGCCCTTAACATTTTTTCCTTCCTTTCAACTATGGTGAATCTGACAATTACGTGTCTTGGAATCACTCTTCTCGAGGAGTATCTTTGTGTTGTTCTCTGTATTTCCTGAATCTGAATGTTGGCCTGCCTTGCTAGATTGGGGAAGTTCTCCTGGATAATATCCTGCAGAGTGTTTTCCAACTTGTTTCCATTCTCCCCGTCACTTTCAGGTACACCCATCACACGGAGATTTGGTCTTTTCACATAGTCTCATATTTCTTGGAGGTTTGTTTGTTTCTTTTTATTCTTTTTTTCTCTAAACTTCCCTTCTCACTTCATTTCATTCATTTCTTCTTCCATCACTTATACCCTTTCTTCCAGTTGATTGCATCGGTTCCTGAGGCTTCCACATTCTTCAAGTAGTTCTCGAGCCATGGCTTTCAGCTCCATCAGCTCCTTTAAGCACTTCTCTGTATTGGTTATTCTAGATATACATTCGTCTAAATTTTTTTCAAAGTTTTTAACTTCTTTGCCTTTGGTTTGAATTTCCTCCTGTAGCTTGGAGCAGTTTGATCGTCTGAAGCCTTCCTCTCTCAACTCGTCAAAGTCATTCTCCACCCAGCTTTTTTCCATTGCTGCTGAGGAACTGTGATCCTTTGGAGGAGGAGAGGTGCTCTGCTTTTTAGAATTTCCAGTTTTTCTGCTCTGTTTTTTCCCCATCTTTGTGGTTGTATCTACTTTTGGTCTTTGATGATGGTGATGTACAGATGGGTTTTTGGTGTGGATGTCCTTTCTGTTTGTAAGTTTTCCTTCTAACAGACAGGACCCTCAGCTGCAGGTCTGTTGGAGTTTCCTAGAAGTCCACTGCAGTCCCTGTTTGCCTGGGTATCAGCAGCGGTGGCTGCAGAACAGCAGATTTTCATGAACCGCGAATGCTGCTGTCTGATCATTCCTCTGGAAGTTTTGTCTCAGAGGAGTACCCGGCTGTGTGAGGTGTCAGTCTGCCCATACTGGGGGGTGCCTCCCAGTTAGGCTGCTTGGGGTCAGGGGTCTGGGACCCACTTGAGGAGGCAGTCTGCTCGTTCTCAGATCTCCAGCTGTGTGCTGGGAGAACCACTGCTCTTTTCAAAACTGTCAGACAGGGACATTTAATCTGCAGAGGTTATTGCTGTCTTTTTGTTTGTCTGTGCCCTGCCCCCAGAGGTGGAGTCTAAAGAGGCAGGCAGGCCTCCTTGAGCTGTGGTGGGCTCCACCCAGTTCTAGTTCCTGACTGCTTTGTTTACCTATGCAAGCCTGGGCAATGGCAAGCGACCTTCTCCAAGCCTCACTGCCGCCTTGCAGTTTGATCTCAGACTGCTGTGCTAGCAATCAGTGAGACTCCGTGGGCGTAGCACGCTCTGAGCCTGGTGTGGGATATAATCTCCTGGTGCACCGTTTGTTAAGACCATCGGAAAAGTGCAGTATTAGGGTGGGAGTGATGTGATTTTCCAGGTGCCGTCTGTCACCCCTTTCTTTGACTAGGAAAGGGAACTCCCTGACCCCTTGCACTTGCCAAGTGAAGCAATGCCTCGCCCTGTTTCAGCTCATGAACTGTGTGCTGCACCCACTGTCCTGCATCCACTGTCTGGCACTCCCTAGTGAGATGAACCCGGTACCTGAGATGGAAATGCAGAAATCACCCATCTTCTGCGTTGCTGACCCTGGGAGCTGTAGACAGGAGCTGTTCCTATTCGGTCATCTTGGCTACCCTTGGTAGTTTCTTTTCCCTCTGCTTCTGAGTTCTGAGAGTTTGTCACTAACATAGGATTCCAGAACACTGCTGCAGGGTTCTGAGTGATTGTCCCTCACATGGGATTCGAAAACAGTCCTGCTGGGTTCAGAGTGTTATCCCTCACATACGATTCCAGAACACTGCTACGAGTTTCTGAATGTTTGTCCCTCACAAAGGATTCCAGAACACTGCTGCTGGGTTCTGAGTGTTTGTCCCTCACATAGGATTCCAGAACACTGCTGCTGGGTTCTGAGTGTTTGTCCCTCACATACGATTCCAGAACTCTGCTACGAAGTTCTGAATGTTTGTGGCTCACATAGGATTCCAGAACACTGCTGCTGGGTTCTGAGTGTTTGTCCCTTATATTGGATTCCAGAACAATGTTACGAGGGTCTGAATGTTTTTCCCTCATGTAGGATTCAAGAACACTGCTAAGAGGGTCTCAATGTTTTTCTCTCACAAAGGATTGCAGAACTCTGCTGCTGGGTTCTGAGTGTTTGTCCCTCATATAGGATTCCAGAACACTGCTATGAGGGTCTGAATGTTTTTCCCTCACAAAGGATCCCAGAACACTGCTGCTGGGTTCTGTTTGTTTGTCCCTCACAAAGGATTCCAGAGCACTGCTGCTGGTTTCTTAGTGTTTGTTCCACACAGGATTCCAGAACACTTCTGCGATGGTCTGAATATTTGTCCCTCAGATAAGATTCCAGTACACAGTGGCTGGGTTCTGAGTGTTGGTCCCTCACATAGGATTCCAGAACACTGCTTCTGGGTTCTGAGTGTTTGTCACTCACATAGGATTCCAGAACACTGCTTCGAGGTTCTGAGTGTTTGTCCCTCACAAAGGATGCTAGAACACTGCTGCTGGTTTCTGAGTGTTTGTCCCTCACACAGGATTCCAGGAAACTGCTATGAGCTTGTGAAGGCTTGTCCATAACAAAGGATTCCAGAGCACTGCTGCTGGTTTCTGAGTGTTTGTCCCTCACACAGGATTCCAGAAAACTGCTATGAGCTTGTGAAGGTTTGTCCATAACAAAGGATTCCAGAGCACTGCTGCTGGATCTGAATGCTTGTCCTTCACACAGGATTCCAGAACACTGCTTCAAGGGTCTGAGTGTTTGTCCCTCACAGAGGATTCCAGACCACTGCTCCTAGGTTCTGAGTGTTGGTTCCACATATAGGATTCCAGAAAACAGCTACAAGGCTATGAAAGTTTGTCTCTCACAAAGGATTGCAGAAAAGTGCTGCTGGGTTCTGAGTGTTTGTCCCTCACATAGGATTCCAGAACACTGCTGCTGGTTTCTGAGTGTTTGTCCCTCACATTGGATTCCAGAACACTGCTGTTGGGTTCTGAGTGTTGTCCCTCACATAGGATTCCGGAAAACTGCTGCTGGGATCTGAGGGATTGTCCCTGTCATTGAGTATGAGAACACTGCTGCTGGGTTCTGAAGGTTTGTCCTTCACGTAGAATTCTAGAACTCTGCTGCTGGGTTCTGAGCGTTTCTCTATCACATGAGATTCCGGAACACTGCTAAAATGTAGGAATGCTTGTCCCTCACAAAGATTCCAGAGCACCGCTTGTGGGTTCTGAGTGTTTGTCCCTCACATAGGATTGCAGAACACAGCTGCTAGGTTCTGAGGGTTTGTCCCAAACGTAGGATTCCAGGACACTGCTTGGAGGGTTTCAAAGTTTGTTCCTCACCAAGGATTCCAGAACACTGCTGCTGGGTTCTGAATGTTTGTCCCTCACATACTATTCCGGAACACTGCTATGAGAGTCTGAATGTTTGTCCCTCAAAGGGATTCCAGAACACTGCTTTTGAGTTCTGAGTGTTTGTCTGACACAAAGGATTCCAGAACACAGCTGCTGGCTTCTGAGTGTTTGTCCCTCACATAGGATTTCAGAACACTGCTATGAGGGTCTGCATGTTTTTCCCTCAGAAAGCATTCTGTATCAATGCTAAGAGTGTCTGAATGCTTGTCCTTCACATAGGATTCCAGAACACTGCTACTGGGTTCTGACTGTTGGTCCTTCACATAGGATTCCAGAACACTGCTCCGAGGCTCTGAATGTTTGTCCCTCACATAGGATTCCTGAACATTTGCTGCTGGTTTGTGATTGTTTGTCCCTCATATGGGATTCCAGAACACTTCTGCTGGGTGCTGAGTGTTTGTCCCTCATATAGGATACCAGAACACTGCTATTGGGTTCAGAGTGTTTGTCCCTTACATAGGATTCCAGAAAACTTCTAAGAGTTTCTGAGTGTTTTCCTTCAGATAGGATTCCAGAACACAGTGGCTGGGTTCTGAGTGTTTGTCCCTGACATAGGGTATCAGAACACTGCTGCTGGGTTCTGAGTGTTTGTCCTTCACATAGGATTCCAGAACACTGCTGCTTTGTTCTGAGTGTTTCTCCCTCACATAGAATTCTAGAACACCACAGCTGGTTTCTGAGCGTTTCTCCTTCACTTAGGATTCCAGAACACTGCTATGATTGTCTGAATGTTTGTCCTTTACCAACTATTCCAGAAGACTGCTGCTGGGTTCTGAGTGTTTCGCCTTCACAATGGTTTCCAGAACACTTCTACGAGGGTCTGAATGTCCCTCACATAGGATTCCAGAACACCGCTATGAGGGTCTGAATGTTTGTCCCTCATAAAGGATTCCTTATCACTGCAACGAGTACCTGAATGCTTGTCACACACATAGTATTCCAGAACACTGCTACTGGGTTCTGAGTGTTTGCCCTTCACAAAAGATTCCAGAACTCTGTTCCGAGGGTTTGAATGTTTGTCCCTCACATAGGATTCCAGAACACTGCTACGAGGGTCTGAATGTTTGTCCCTCACAAAGGATTCTGTATCACTGCAATGAGTACCCGAATGCTTGTCACACACATAGCATTCCAGAACACTGCTACTGGGTTCTGAGTGTTTGTCCTTCACAAAGGATTCCAGAACTCTGCTCCGAGGGTCTGAATGTTTGTCCCTCACATAGGAATCCAGAACACTGCTGCTGGTTTGTGAGTGTATTTCTCTCACATAGGATTCCAGAACACTTCTGCTGGGTTCTGAGTGTGTGTCCCTCATATCGAATACCAGAACACTGCTGCTGGTTTCTGAGTGATTGTCCCTCACATAGAATTCCAGAACGCTGCTGCTGGTTTCTGAGTGATTGTCCCTCACATAGAATTCCAGAATGCTGCTGCTTGGTTCTGACGGTTTGTCTGTCACATAGAATTCCAGAACACTGCTGCTGAGTTCCGAGGGTTTATTCCTCACATAGGATTCCAGAACACTGCTACGAGGGTCTGAATGTTTGTCCCTCACAGAGCATTCCAGACCGGTGCTACCAGGGTCTGAATGCTTGTCTCTCACACAGGATTCCAGATCACTGCTGCAGGGTTCTGAATGTTTTTCCCTCACATATGATTCCTAAACACTGCTTCTGGGTTCTGAGTGTTTGCCCCTCACATTGGATTCCAGAACACTGCTGCTGGGTTCTGAATGTCTGTCCCTCACATAGGATTCCAGATCACTGCTGCTGGGTTCTGAGTGTTTGTTCTTCACAGAAGATTCCAGACCACTGCTGCTGGGTTCTGAGTGTTTGTTCTTCACAGAGGATTCCAGACCACTGCTGCTGGGTTCTGAGTGTTTATCTCACACATAGGATTCTAGAACACTGATACAAGGGTATGAAAGTTTGTCTCTCACAAAGAATTGCAGAAAAATGCTACTGGGTTCTGAGTGTTTGTCCCTCACATAATATTCCAGAACACTGCTGCTGGGTTCTGAGTGTTTGTCCTTCACATTGGATTCCAGAACACTGCTGCTGGGTTCTGAGTGTTTGTCCCTCACTTAAGATTCCAGAAAACTTCTGCTGGGATCTGAGGGATTGTCCCTGTCATTGAGTTCCAGAACACTGCTGCTGGGTTCTGAGGGTTTTTCCCTCACATAGCATTGCAGAATACTGATGCTAGGTTCTGAGGGATTGTCCCTCATGTAGAATTCTAGAACTCCGCTGCTGGGTTCTGAGGGTTTCCCCATCACATGGGATTCCGGAACATGGCTACAAGGGTCTGAATGTTTGTCCCTCACAAAGATTCCAGAGCACCGCTTGTGGGTTCTGAGTGTTTGTCCCTCACATAGGATTGCAGAACACAGCTGCTGGGTTCTGAGTGTTTGTCCCAAACGTAGGATTCCCGAACACTGCTCAGAGGTTCTGAAAGTTTGTTCCTCACCAAGGATTCCAGAACACTGCTGCTGGGTTCTGAATGTTTGTCCCTCACATACTATTCCGGAACACTCCTACGATGGTCTGAATGTTTGTCCCTCAAAGGGATTCCAGAACACTGCTTTTGAGTTCTGAGTGTTTCTCCCACACAAAGGATTCCAGAACTCTGCTGCTGGCTTCTGAGTGTTTGTCCCTCACATAGGATTCCAGAAGACTGCTACGAGGGTCTGTATGTTTGTCCCTCAGAAAGCATTCTGTATCACTGCTGCAGTGTCTGAATTCTTTTCCCTCACATTGGATTCCAGAACACTGCTATTGGGTTCTGACTGTTTGTCCTTCACATAGCATTCCAGAACACTGCTCCAAGGGTCTGCATGTTTGTACCTCACATAGGATTCCAGAACACTGCTGCTGTTTTGTGAGTATTTGTCCATCACTTAGGATTCCAGAACACTTCTGCTGGGTTCTGAGTGTGTGTCCCTCATATAGGATACCAGAACACTGCTGCTGGGTTTTGTGTGTTTGTCTCTCACGTAGCATTCCAGAACACTGCTGCTGGGTTCTGAGTGTTAGTCCCTCACGTACCATTCCAGAACACTGCTGCTAGGCTCTGAGGGTTTTTCCCTCTCATAGAATTCCAGAACACTGCTGCTGAGTTCTGAGGGTTTGTACCTCACATAGGATTCCAGAACACTGCTTCGAGGATCTGAATGTTTGTCACTCACAGAGCATTCCAGAACAGTGTTATGAGGGTCTGAATGCTTGTCCCTCAGATAGGATTCCAGAACACTGCTGCAGGGTTCTGAGTGTTTGTCCCTCACATAGGATTCCAGAACACTGCTCTGAGTGTCTGAATGTTTGTCCCTCACAAAGGATTCCAGAACACTGCTGCTGCGTTCTCTGGGTTTGTCCCTCACATAGAATTCCCGAACAGTGCTGCTGGATTCTGAGTGCTTGTCCCTCTCATAGGATTACAGAACACTGCTGCTGTTTTCTGAGTGTTTGTCCCTTACATACGATTTCAGAACACTGCTACGGGGGTCTGAATATTTATTCCTCATATAGCATTACAAACAGTGGTATGAGTGTCTGAATGTTTGTCCCTCACAATTGAATCCAGAACACTGCTGCTGGTTTCTGAGGGTTTGTCCTTCACCTAGAATTCCCGAGCACTGCTGCTGGGTTCTGGGTATTTGTTCCTCACATAGGATTCCAGTACACTGCCGCTGGGTTCTGAGTGTTTGTCCCTCACATAGGATTGCAGAACACTGCTACGAGGGTCTGAATGTTTGTCCCTCAGATAGGATTCCAGAACACTGCTGCTGGGTTGTGTGTGTTTGTCACTCACATAGAATTCCAGAACACTGCTACGAGTGTCTCAATGTGTGTCCCTCAGATAGAATTCCAGAATAGTCCTGCTCCGGTCTGAATGTTTGTCCCTCACATATGATTCCAGGACACTGCTGCTGTGTTCTGCGTGTTTGTCCCCCACATAGGACTCAAGAACACTCCTGCTGTCGTCTGAACATGTGTCCTTCACAAAGGATTCCAGAACACTGCTACAAGCCTCTGAATTGTTGTCCCCCACAGAGGATTCCAGAACACTGGTACAAGGGTCTGAATGTGAGTTCCTCACATAGGATTCCAGAACACTAATGCTGGGTTCTGAATGTCTGTCCCTCACCTAGGATTGCAGAACACTGATACGAGGTTGTGAATGTTTTTCCCTCAGAGAGGATCAAAGAACACTGCTGCTAGCGTCTGAAATTTTGATGATCACGTAGGATTCCAGAACTCTCCTGCTCTGGTCTGTATGTTTGTCCCTCACATAGGATTCCAGAACACTGCTAAGAGGGTCTGAATGTTTGTCCCTCACAAAGGATTCTAGAACACTGCTGCTGGGTTCTGAGTGTTTGTCCCTCACATAGGATTCCAGAACACTGCTATGAGGGTCTGAATGTTTATCCCTCACGGAGGGTTCCAGAACACTGTTACTGGATTCTGAGTGTTTGTCCCTCATATTGGATTCCAGAACAATGCTACGAGGGTCTGAATATTTTTCACTCACATAGGATTCCAAAACACTGTTACGAGGGTGTGAATGTTTTTCCCTCCCAAAAGATTCCAGAACACTGCTGCTGGGTTCTGAGTGTTTGTCCCTCATATAGGATTCCAGAACACTGCTATGAGGGTCTGAATGTTTTACCTCACATAGGATTCCAGAACACTGCTACGAGGGTCTGAATGTTTTCCCTTACAAAGGATCTTAGAACACTGCTACTGGGTTCTGTTTGTTTGCCTCTCACAAAGGATTCCAGAGCACTGCTGCATATTTCTTAGTGTTTGCCCCTCATATAGGATTCCAGAACACTTCTCCGAGGTTCTGAATGTTTGCCCTCAGATAGGATTCCAGTACACTGTGGCTGGATTCTGAGTGTTTGTCCCTCACATAGGATTCCAGATCACTGCTACGAGGTTCTGAATATTTGTCCCTCACAAAGGATTCTAGAACACTGCTACTGGTTTCTGAGTGTTTGTCCCTCACAAAGGATTCTAGAACACTGCTTCCGGGTTCTGTATGTTTGTCCCTCACATAGGATGCCAAAACACTGATGCTGGGTTCTGAGTGTTTGTCCCTCACTTAGCATTCCAGAACACTGCTGCTGGCTTCTGAGTGTTTGTCCCTCACATACAATTCCAGAACACTGCTAAGAAGTTCTGAAGGTTTGTCGCTCACATAGGATTCCAGAACAGAGCTGCTGTGTCCTGATTGCTTGTCCCTTACAAAGGATTCCAGAACACTGATGCTGGGTTCTGAGTGTTCGTCTATCACATAGGATTCCAGAACACTGTGGCTGGGTTCTGAGTGTTTGTCCCTCACATAGGATTCCAGATCACTGTTGCTGGGTTCTGAGTGTTTGTCCCTCACATAGGGTTCCAGAACAGTGCTGCTGGGTTCTTCGTGTTTGTACCTCATATAGGATTCCAGAGCACTGCTACGAGGCTCTGAATGCTTGTCCCTTACATAGGATTCCAGAACACTGGTTTGAGACTCAATATTTGTCTCTCATGAAAGATTGCAGACAACTGCTGCTGGGTTCTGAGAGTTTGTCCTTCACTTAGGAATCCAGAACACTGATTCTGGGTTCTGAATATTTGTCATTCACATAGGATTCCAGAACAGTGCTGCTGGCTTCTGAGTGATTGTCCCGCACGTAGGATTCCAGAACACTGCTACGAGGGTCTGAATGTTCTTCACTCACAAAGGCTTCCAGAACACTGCTGCTGGTTTCTGTTTGTCCCTCACAAAGGATTCCAGAGCACTGCTGCTGGTTACTTAGTGTTTGTTGCGCACATAGGATTCCAGATCACTTCTGCGAAGGTCTGAATGTTTGGCCCTGAGATAGGATTCCAGTACACACTGGCTCGGTTCTGAGTGTTTGTACCACACACTGGATTCCAGAACACTGCTGCTGGGTTCTGAGTGTTTGCCCCTCACATAGGATTCCAGAAAACTGCTACGAGGACCTTAATGTTTGTCCATCATAAAAGATTCCAGAACAATGCTACTGGATCTGAGTGTCCCTCACATAGGATAACAGAACACTGCTTCGAGAGTCTAAATGTTTGTCCCTCACAAAGGATTCTAGAACACTGCTGCTGGTTTCTGAGTGTTTGTCACTCACGTAGGATTCCAGAACACTACTGCTGAGTTCTGAGGCTTTGTACCTCACATAGTATTTCAGAACATTGCTACGAGGTTCTGAATGTTTGACCCTCACAGAGAATTCCAGAACAGGGCTATGAGGAGCTGAATGCTTGTCCCTCACATACGAATTCAGAGCACTGCTGCAGGGTTCGGAGTGTTTATCCCTCACATAGGATTACAGAGCACTGTTCTGAGCGTCTGAGTGTTTGACCCTCACAAAGGATTGCAGAACACTGCTGCTGGGCTCTGAGTGTTTGTCCCTCACATAGGATTCTAGAACACTGCTGCAGCTTTCTTAGTGTTTGTCTCTCACATAGGATTCCAGAACACTGCTATGAGGATCTGAATGTTTGTCCCTCACAAAGGTTTCCAGAATGCTGCTGCTGGGTTCTGAGTGTCCCTTACATAGGATTCCAGAACTCTGCTGCTGGGTTCTGTTTGTTTGTCCCTCACAAAGGAATCCAGAGCACTGCTGCAGGTTTCTGAGTGTTTGACCCTCACATAGGATTCCAGAACACTGCTGCGGCTTTCCGAGTGTTTGTCCCTCACATAGGATTCCAGAACAGTGCTGCTGGGTTCTAAGTGTTTGTTCCTCACATAGGATTCCAGAACACTGCTGCTGCGTTCTGAGTGTTTGTCCCTCACATAGGATTCCAGAACACTGCTGCTGCGTTCTGAGTGTTTGTCCCTCACATAGGATTCCAGAACACTGTTATGATTGTCTGAATGTTTGTCCCTCACAAATTATTCCAGAGTACTGCTGCTGGGTTCTGAGTGTTTGTCCCTCACATAGGATTCCAGAACAGTGCTGCTGGGTTCTGAGCGTTTGTCCCTCACATAGGATTCCAGAACACTGATACTAAGGTCTGAATGTTTGTCCCTCAGATAAGATTACAGAACACAGCTACGAGGGTCTGAATGATTGTCCCTCACATAGGATTCCAGAACACAGTGGCTGGGTTCTGAGTGTTTGTCCCTCATATAGGATTTCAGAACACTGCTACGAATTTCTGAATGTTTGTCGCTCACAGAGGATTCCAGAACACTGTGGCTGGGTTGTGTTTGTCCCCCACATAGGATTCCAGAATACTGCTGGTGGGTTCTGAGTGTTTGTCCCTCACATAGGATTCCAGAACACTGCTACGAGGGTCTGAATATTTTTGCCTCTCAAAGGAATCCAGAACACTGCTGCTCAGTTGTGTTTGTTTGTCCCTCACAAGGGACTCCAGTGCACTGCTGCAGGTTTCTGAGAGTTTTTCCCTCACATAGGATTCCAGAACACTTCTACGAGGGTCTGAATGTTTGTATCTCACAGTGGAATCTACAAAACTGCTGCAGGGTTCTGAGTGTTTCTCACTCATATAGGATTACAGAAGACTGCTGCTGGGTTCTGAGAGTTTATCCCTCACATGGGATTCCAGAACACAGCTGCTGGCTTCTGAGTGTTTATCCCTCACATAGGATTGCAGAACACTGCTACGAGGGTCGGAATGTTTGTCCATCACAAAGGACTCCGGAATATTGCTGCTGGGTTCTGAGTGTTTGTCCATCACATAGGATTCCAGAACACTGCTTCAAGGCTCTGAATGTTTTTCCCTCTCAAAGGATTCTAGAACACTGCTGCTGGGTTCTGAGTGTTTGTCCCTCACATACGATTCCAGAACACTGCTGTGAGGTTCTGAAACTTTGTGCATCACAAAGGATTCCAGAACACAGCTGCTGTGTTCTGAGTGTTTGTCCCTCACATAGGATTCCAGAACTCTGCTACTGGGTTCTGAGTGTTTGTCCCACACATAGCATTCCAGAACAATCCTGCTGGGTTCTGAGTGTTTTTCCCTCACATAGGGTTCCAGAGCACTGCTGCTGAGTTCTGAGTGTTTGTGCCATATATAGAATTCCAGAACAATGCACGACGGTCTGAATGTTTTTCCCTCACATAGGATTCCAGAACACTGCTGAGTGTCTGAATGTTTGTCTCTCACAAAGGATTCCAGAGCACTGTTGCTGGGTTCTGACTGTTTGTCCCTCATATAGGATTCCAGAACACTGCTACGAGGGTTTCAATGTTTTTCCCCCACAAAGGCTTCCAGAACACTGTGGCTGGTTTCTATTGTTTGTCCCTGTCAAAGGATTCAGGAGCACTTCTGCTGGTTTCTTAGTGTGTCACGCACATACGTTTCCAGAACACTTCTATGATTTTCTGAATGTTGTCCCTCACAAAGAATTCCAGAAAACTGCTGCTGGGTTCTGAGTGTTTGTCCCTCACATAGGATTCCAGAACTCTCCTGCTGGGTTCTGTTTGTTTGCCCCTCACAAAGGGATCCAGAGCACTGCTGCTGGTTTCTGAGTGTTTGTCCCTCACTCAGGATACCAGAACACTGCTACGATGGTCTGAATATTTGTCCATCACAAAGGATTCATAACACTGCTATGGGTTCTGACTGTCCCTCACAATGGATTCCAGAAAACTGCTTTGAGAGTCTCAATGTTTGTTCCTCACAAAGTATTCCAGAGCACTGCTGCAGGGTTCTGTGTATTTGTCCCTCACATGGGATTCAAAAACACTCCTGCTGGGTTCAGAGTGTTTTCCCTCACATAAAATTCCGGAACACTGCTAAAGGTTCTGAATGTTTGTCCCTCACAAAGGATTCCAGAACACTGCTGCTGGATTCTTAGTGTTTGACCCTCACATAGGATTCCAGAACACTGCTGCTGGGTTCCGAGTGTTTCTCCCTCACATAGGATTCCAGAACACTGCTGCTTGGTTCTGAGTGTTTGTCCCTCACATAGCATTCCAGAACACAGGTACGAAGTTCTGAATGTTTGTCGCTCAAATAGGATTCCAGAACAATGCTGCTGGGTTCTGAATGTTTGACACTCACATGGGATTCCAGAACACTGCTGCTGGGTTCTGAGTGTTTCTCCCTCACATAGGATTCAAGGAAACTGTTTCTGGGTTCTGAGTGTTTGTACCTCACATAGGATTCCAGAACACTGCTTCGAGGGTCTGAATGTTTTTCCCTCACAAAAGCACTCCAGAACACTGTTGCTGGGTTCTGAGTGTTTGCCCCTCATATAGGATTCCAGAACAATGCTACGAGTATCTGAATGTTTTTCCCTCACGTAGGATTCCAGAACATTACTAAGAGTATCTGAATGTTTTTCCCTCACAGAGTATTCCAGAACACTTCTGCTGGATCTGAGTGTTTGTCCCTCACATAGGATTCCAGAACACTGCTGCTGGGTTCTGAGTGTTTGTCCCTCACCTTGGATTCCAGAAAACGGCTATGACGGTCTGAATTTTTGTCCATCACAAAGGATTTTAGAACACTGTTGCTGGATCTGAGTGTTTGTCCCTCACACAGGATTCCAGAACACTGTTTCGATGGTCTGAATGTTTGTCCCTCACAAAGGATTCTAAAACACTGCTGCTGGTTTCTTAGTGTTTGTCACTCACATAGGATTCCAGAGCACTGCTGCTGGGTTCTGAGTGTTTGTCCCTCACATGGGATTCCAGTACACAACTGCTAGGTTCAAAGTGTTTGTCCCTCACATACGATTCCAGAACACTGCTACGAGGTTCTGAATGTTTGTCCCTCACAAATGATTGCAGAACACTGCTTCTGAGTTGTGAGCGTTTGTCTGTCAAATAGGATTACAGTACACGGCTGTTGGGCTCTATTTGTTTGTCCGTCACAAAGGATTCCAGAACACTGCTATAGGTTTCTGAGTGTTTGTCCCTCACATAGGATTCCAGAACAATTCTACGAGGCTCCGAATGTTTGTCCTTCAGATAGGATTTCAGAACACAGTGGCTGGGTTCTGAGTGTTTGTCCCTCACATAGGGTATCAGAACACTGCTGCTGGGATCTGAGTGTTTGTCTTTCACAGAGGATTCCAGAACACTGCTGCTTTGTTCTGAGTGTTTGTCCCTCACATAGAATTCCAGAACACTGCCGCTCGGTACTGAGGGTTTGTCCCTTACATAGAATTCTAGAACACTGCAGCTCATTTCTGAGTGTTTGTCCCTCACTTAGGATTCCAGAACAATGCTGCGATTGTCTGAATGTTTGTTCCTTACCAAGTATTCCACAACACTGTTGCTGGGTTCTGAGTGTTTGGCACTCACATTGGTTTCCAGAACACTGCTACGAGGGTCTGAATGTCCCACACAAAGATTCCAGAACACTGCTAAGAGGGTCTGAATGTTTTTCCCTCAGAAAGGATTCCAGAACCCTGCTACTGGATTCTGTTTGTTTGTCCCTTACAAAGGATTTCAGAGCACTGCTCCTGGTTGCTGAGGGTTTGTCCCTCACATAGGATTCCAGAACACTTCTGCAAGTGTCTGAATGTTTGTCCCTTAGATAGGATTCCAGAAGACAGTGGGTGGGTTCTGGGTATTTGTCCATCACATAGGATTCCAGAACACTTCTGCTGGGTTCTGAGTGTTTGTCTCTCACATAAGGTTCCAGAACACTGCTGCTGTGTTCTGAGTGTTTGTCCCTCACAGAGGATTCCAGAACACTGCTCCTGGGTTCTGAGTGGTTGTCCCTCACATAGGATTCCAGTGCACTGCTACGAGGGTCTGAATGTTTGTCCATCACAAAGGATTCCAGAACACTGCTGCTGGGTTCTGAGTGTTTGTCCCTCACTTAGGATTCCAGAACAGTGCTGCTGGGTTCTGAGTGTTTGTCCCTCACATATGATTCCAGAACACTGCTGCTGGGTTCTGAGTGTTTGTCCCTCACAAAGGATTCTAGAACACCGCTCCTGGGTTCTGAGTGTTTGTCCCTCACATAGGATCCCAGAACACTGCTGCTGGGTTCTGAGTATTTGTCCCTCTCATGGGATTCCGGAAACCTGCTGCTGAGTTCAGAGTATTCGTCCCTCACATAGGATTCCAGAACACTGCTGCTGGGTTCTGAGTGTTTGTCCCTCACATTGGACTCCAGAACACTGCTGCTGGGTTCTGAGTGTTTGTCCCTCACATAGAATTCCAGAACACTGCTACGAAGTTCTGAATGTTTGTGGCTCACACGGGATTCCAGAACACTGCTGCTGGGTTCTGAGTTTTTGTCCCTCACATAGGATTCTGGAACACTGCTACGAGGGTCTGAATGTTTATCCCTTACAAAGGATTACAGAACAGTTCTGGAATCCTATGTGAGGGACAAACACTCAGAACCCAGCAGTGTTCTGGAATCCTATGTGAGGTCAGTGTGGGGGGATGGGGAGGGATAGCATTAGGAGATATACCTAATGCTAAATGACAAATTCATGGATGCAGCACACCAACATGGCACATATATACATATGTAACAAACCTGCACATTTTACACATGTACCCTAAAACTTAAGGTATAATAATAAATTTAAAAAATAAAAAAATAAAAAAAGAATTAACATAGTTTTATGTAGTCTTCAGTAGACAACAATCATCCATCTAAATTAAACAGTATTTTCTACAATCATGTGAATATAAGGCCACAATATTTACTATGAATAAATACCTTAAATAGTAATTTTAATATCGTTATTTATTCTTTTGAAATATAAAGTATTATAACTGAGTTAAGGTTACAGATAATTTAAAAAATGTATGTCATCACTAGTATACTAAGATTATTTATACTTAGATATTTATATCTAATATCCAAAGAAAATTTACTATCTAATTGTTACAGTAGATATTAATCTGACATGCTTATTAATTCATCCCATAGATATAATAATAGGTCAGCTGGGTGTAGTGGCTCACACCTATAATCACAGCACTTTGGGAGGCCAAGGCAGGCGGATCACCTGAGGTCAGGAGTTTGAGACCACCCTGACCAACATGGAGAAACCCCGTCTCTACTAAAAAAAATACACAATTATCAGGGAATGGTGGTGCATGCTTGTAATCCTAGCTAATCGGGAGACTGAAGCAGGAGAATCACTTGAACCTGGGAGGTGGAGGCTGCAGTGAGCTGAGATTGCATCATTGCACTCCAGCCTGGGCAACAAGAGCAAAACTCTGTCTCAAAAAACAAAACAAAACAAAAGATAGAGTAGTAGGTTAGCAAAATTTTACATTCTATCTTTTGTTTTGTTTTGTTTTTTGTTTTTTTGGGATGGAGTCTGGCTCTGTCACCCAGGCTGGAGTGCAGTGGCGTGATCTCAGCTCACTGGAACCTCTGCCTCCTGGGTTCAAGCGATTCTCTTGCCTCAACCCCTAAGTAGCTGGGATTACAGTTGTCTGCCACCACGCCTGGCTAGTTTTTGTATTTTAGTAGAGACGGGGTTTCACCGTGTTGGCCAGGCTGGTCTTCAACTCTCGACCTAGGTGATCCACCTAAGCCTCCCAAAGTGCTGGAATTACAGGTGTGAGCCACCGCGTCCTGCCTTACAGTCTATTCTTATGTTTTACTAAATTAGGAATGTCACTCTTACAGAACAAATCAATGCAAGTGTTGTGACGACCCAAAATTCATGAATCATAATAGTCTTCAGTTAGATATGTTGCAATCTCAGATATAGTATCTACTATGTAAACAGAGTCAAATTCCAATTCTTTATCAAAAAGTGCTGGCGAAGGTTGCCTGATGTGTTCCAGTGTAGATCCTCAATCCAATGGCCAGCAGATGAGAGAGCAGCAGAGATGGAAGGAAAATCTTAAGAAATTCTGCTGAGAATATGCCCCCTTTCTTCATAACACTGTGTTTCTTGTGTTGAGAGCAGCTGTGCATTTTGGGTGTTTAGAGAGGAAACTGTCTCAGGGGAGTGAGTATTTTCTGGTCGACTTGGCTAATATTATATGTAATCTGAATTTTTCTTTCAGATGCTTTTAACCTCTTAATACAATTTTATTCAGACTGAGAGCTGTTTTTCTCTTCAATGCCTTCGGTGTCTGTCTTCAGAAGGGACCCCCAAAAGTGTCTCATGGTGTTTCCGAGTGAGTTGGGCTGTCACAATGAGAACTCTTTCGCACTCTATCCAGACCCATGCTGGGAATCAAGCAGTATTTTTTTGTCACCATTATAAATAGAAAAGTAGCTGAAACATTGCTCCCATTTCCATTATTGCAAAAGTGCAATCCTACCCAGGAGTCCTGCAGGTTCTCCTCCTGCCGTTCAGGGACCCTGCTCCATAATGTGACACTGGAGTGCAGCTGTGGTGGTTGGAGTCCATGTGGAATGTGGGCTGCCAGCAGTGTGCTGTGAGCTGTGCCTCGATGGTAGATGGTAGGGGAAGAGATGGGACACAGGCCACCAGGACAGGGCAAGCAGGATTGCTGCAGCCCGTGGCCTAGGGAGTAGGGACCCTTTGCTTTGAAATGTAAATAGCCAAAAGAATAATATCCTATCTCACAGTGTCTGTGAAAGAACCAGAGCCTACTTTCGGCAGGCACCTGGCTGTAAGTTGCAAAACTACCTCCTATCATGAAGATGTCAGAAGTTCATTTTTCCTTTCAATATAACTAATTAACGTACACAGATGGCCTCCCCAATTACCAGGTGAACTTAGGATAAACTGTGTATGACAAATGATGCTGTGAAATCTTCTACTTGAGGACTAATTATAGAGACCCTTCTGTCTTTGCAATCTCTTGAGCAGATTGTCTGTGATTCATGTCGCATCACATTCTGGTTTTATTGTTCAATAAAACACTTTTCTTTCTGTTCTGTTATTGTGGGGTTTTTCTAGGATTGGAGATAATTTTCCTTTTAATTATATTTCTCAAACACTGTTCACAATTACCAGACATTGTATATATGTATAAAATGCCCACCAAGCTTCACTTTAGAGAAGGCTTTCCCCCTCAGGCTTCCAGTCAACCCAGTCAGTTGTGCTTCAAAGTGCACACTGCCCCCAGAGTATGCAAGCAGACTTGTGTCTCTGCCTGTTTCACATCTATAGTCCTCTACAACCACTCATAGAGACGTTAAGCCTTTCTACAAGTGGGTGACAAAATTCACAGGATAGTAATCAGCCATTTCACCTCTTTCAGAGACCATAGTGTCTTGAGACCTGAAACTGAGTTGGAGACTATTAGGACCAGAAGAACAATTAGGGTGACATGTGTGCATTGAGTAAACGTGAGTATCTCAAAGTTCCTCTTTCTTCTCCTCCCAAAATTCCCATAAATGTGCAGTTAATACCTGTCATTTCTCCATCCATCCAGGACCTAAATCTACAGTACCAAATTCTGAACCTCGGTCTTGAGATTAGAGGAAAAAGAATAACTTTGATCTGAGGAGGGCAAGTCCTTTTAGTTTTATCAGGCCCAGAGAGACATAAAAATGAGAACATAATTATGTTCTACTGCCTCCTTTGAGCTACGTGTTTACCTCTCGAAACTGTTTGCTATTCCTACAAGTAGATATAAATTAACCTAATAATGCCACACTAGATGTTATAAGCAATACCTCACAGCTTAAAAATATATAGCCAATTAGTCATCAATGTTATTTCTGTAGATCAAGAAGAATTTCTGACAAACAACTTTGTTTCAGTCCTCTCCCTGTCCCTCTCTTTTGCCTCTGTAAATCCACTTGTAACTGCTGCTAATTAAAGTATACATTCAAGGCAACTTGAATCTATGCTCCCAGATTTCAATCCTCAGGCTTGGCCCAAATAAACTCTCTTCTTAAATGAGTGTTGCCTTAGCCTTTTCTTTTTAGGCTGACATATCATGTGCTAGAGCAGACTTTATGATGGAAACTTTTTTTTTTTTTTTACTCTCCTTGCTGTAACACCAAAGAATGAAGAGTCAGGTTGATCTTACCTGTAATCTGTACATAAGAGCTGAGCTCTCCCTGGGATTCACAGGAGAGAGCCAGATTTTGGATTAAGAATGTACAGAAAACCCATAGGAGACATTTTCTGATCTGTGAGATGTCAGCATAGAAATCTTAAAGCCCTCCTTTCAGAGTGTATCCCTTTGAGCTTTCCAGATCTTTTCCAGTGACCTGCTATGGTTATGTGAGAGGCTGCTGGTGTAAATAGAATCTGGTTGCACAATCTGTAAGTGTAAACATGCATGTCAGCAGGGAGAGATCAAAGCCACAAAATACCCAGAGCAATGACATAAGTTTACCTATTTGTAAAATGTGATACTGGAGTAGAGTATTCTTGTCCTTTCTCTTACCTAAGACCTAGCTAATCAGAACAGGTGATATCACACGTAGATCCAGATTCTGGAGCTCTACCAGGGCAGTTCCATTTTCTATTTAGAATCAGCTTGAGTCTTTCCTACTTGGATCAACATATGGTCATCAGTCTATGGTCACTAGGAATCCTCTCACAATCACCCGGGAATCTTTAAGACATTTCAGGATGTCCTGTACAGACTTGGGTCAGGCTGGCAGGAGTGCCTAATTCTGCTTCCATGTTAGAGGAAGGGAAATGAGTCATTCAGTGTCTGTTCCTTCTTTTGTAGAAAGAATCTCCTTGGTTGGTACCTGGACGAGAGTTTCTCCAGTTTCCTTGGCAAAAAATTCAGGAGTTCTGGAGACTCAGACTGATAAACAGATTGCCTCCATTTCATATGGCCTTTAGAAAAATAGATGAAGCAGTCAGGGTCACTGTCATTCAAAAACTTTCAGTCTAGAGCAACTGGATAAATGGTTTAATTAAGCATCATATAGTCAATACAATAAAGTGGGAGTGTTAAGGGGACTTGGGCGATGACTCTGATGTTGTTGTGACTTCTGATATCACCTCCTGAAGAGCTATTCTCAAACAGGAGAGTTATTTGTATTTCTATTGCTTTTACCTTGCTAAGAATACATATTTTCTGATAAAATTATCCTAGAAAGCCCTAAAAGTTTTGGTTAAATTGCTTGTTATTATATGTTATAAAATAGAGTAGTGGCTAAATGGATTAAAATTATACAAACTCTTAAGTTTCTCTTGGACAGGCTTAGGAAAGACAGAACAAGAAGTACTCCAGCAGCATAGAGATCATAATTCAACATAGGACCGTTTCTCCACCCCAGCTCTGTCCAGATTCACACTTTTCTGAGGCTCATTCACGTCTGGTCCCACCCTGGAGTTTCTCCTCACAGAACTCATTAGAGGAGACCAGAGATTTGGGAGGTGGCTCCTGCTGCCTCTCCAGAGCTTATGCTCACAATATTCTGAAACCCAAAAGCAGATAAATTAGAGCAATAAACTATATATTTTGAGGTCTTAACTTCTTTCTTTTTAATTAAAACCAGTGCTTGTAGAGACATTCCATCCCAGTAGTTACTCCACAGTCACAAAAAAGTAAATAGAAACACAATAAAAAATCCCTTTAAACTACCCTTAACCCTTTCCTTTCTGTATCCCTCCCATCTCTTTATATTTATCTCTTATGCTATACATTTTAAAAAAAAATCAGTGAGAGGCCGGGCTCTGTGGCTCATGCTTGTAATACTAGCACTTTGGGAGGCCAAGGTGCGCGGATCACTTTAGCTTGGGAGTTCGAGACCAGCCTGACCAACATGGAGAAACCCTGTCTCTACTAAAAATAGAAACTTAGCTCAGTGTCATGGTGCATGCCTGTAATCCCAACTACTCGGGAGGCTGAGGCAGGAGAATCGTTTGAACCCAGGAGGCGGATGTTGTGGTGAGCTGAGATCATGCCATTGCACTTCCAGCCTGGGCAACAAGAGTGAAACTCCGTCCAGAAAAAAAAAATCAATGAGATAAACAGGGAAGAAAACAATGCTGGCCCCTTCATCTAAATTCTGAGAATTATTGAACTCTTAGGACCCAACTCTCAAGTTGTTATGAAGATTAAATCACATAATGTGATGTTCCCAGCACAGTGCTCTGTAACACACTCCTGAGCACATAGTACCTGCTTCATAAGCATTGCATAAGTATATGTGTACATGTTGTTTTTCAGTGCAGACTTACTCAGACGTTGTTGCCTTCTCCTGTCTCTGAAGTTAAAGAGCTAGCAAAGAATGTGGTTTTTCAGGATAGAGATTGATTGTTTATTTGATCAGAAGTATTTGTGTTGTGATGAGTGATGAGAGTAAGAGTCTGTTCCATGCCTGCTTTCTCTAGCTAAATGCTACTAATGATGGGTCTGGGGAAGCTACATCAGCATTGACAGGAGATGTGTTTAAAATGCACTTTCATGGATGCTTTTAAAACCTGCAGAATCACATTACATAGTGTGGGGCCAGGGTTACCAAATGATTTATATGCACATTGAAGTTTGAGAGGCAATGTTTAGCTAAGTGGTTCTTGGCCCAGGCTTCTAATTAAGATTCCATGGCCAGGTTGCAGAAATCTTTTCACTTGTACCCTTCCCACAGGCTCTGTATATTGTTCTGGGTGGAAGCATCCTTGTTGATATAATTAAGTGCCTCATGTGACTCCAGGTTGAGGCCAGGGTCAAACATGAGGATTTCAAAATACATTCATGAGAGTTGAGTTCAAACTTTATTCCAAAGGGAGGTCACAGGGCCTGCTATGGTTGGATTTGGTAGGGACAAGTTAGTGTGGCCCGTATCCCCATTGCTGTAGCAGAAATTGTGGCATCTGTGGCAGGAAAAGAGAAAGATAAATTTTGATCTTTGTGGAGGAGCTCGCTGTCCTTGAATCTCACCTGTTATAAAGAACATAAATGGGTGGACATTTTCTGCCTGCCTGGATCTTTCTACCTGTGTTTGTGGTGGTAGCAGGTGAAGAGATTGTGCTGATTTCTTTAAAGGCATATTCCCAAGATGCAGGTGTGACTTGTCCAGAGAATATCACCTGAGAAGAAATCCTAGAGAAGGATGATGAAGAGAAAAATGGCTTTTTCTCAGGTGACTGTGTCTCAGATCAGGAGCAGTGTTCACTCTGCCTCCTGGAATGCCATATGTTTAGAACTTACAAACCTGTACTTCTTGACTTTATGCTATTTCTCCCTATAAGTTTGTTTAAACACTTTTTCTTCTCATGATAGTCAAGAAACTCTGAAAAAATATTATTTTCTATACACTAGAGCCTTCTTGACATTCTCTTCATCTTGGCTTCTTCTCTGCCATGCAGAATTCTCACCATTAATTTATGACTCATAATATTAAAATTATTCCCTTTGGCTGGACGCAGTGGCTCATGCCTATTATCCCAGCACTTTGAGAGGCCGATATGTGTGGATGACCTGAGGTCAGGAGTTCGAGACCAGCCTGGCCAACATGGTGAAACCCTGTCACTACTAAAAATACAAAAAATAGCTGGGCATGGTGGCGGGTGCCTGTAATCCCAGCTACTTGGGAGGCTGAGGCAAGAGAATCACTTGAACCCAGGAGGTGGAGGTTCTGGAGGCTGCAGTGAGCCTACATTGTGCCACTGCACTCCAGCCTGGGCAACAGAGAGAGACTCCATCTCCAAAGAAAAAAAAAAAAAGAAAAATACCCTTTGTTGCTGGTGCTGGTGCACATGGAAATGTATGGATACCCAAGATTCCTACTGGGGAAGAGGTGGGGTTCTTAGATATTCATGAAAAATAGGAATATGTAATGTTGAAGTACTGTCTGTGTGCTCCATCAACTCGATGCGGAACAGGATTAAAATATGCACATTTGAACAAGATGGCATTTATTACCCAGAATAATTCAGAAAGTTTTGAAAAAAATAATTAGAAGATACTCTCTTTCTAGAATGCTAAAGAAAGTCTGTGTAAATACTTTAATAGAGATTACACAACATGAGTGATTACTGTAGTTTGCATTTTGCATAAAACTTGTTTCTTTATGATTAGATTTGAATTATAATTTGCTTCTTTGGCGGGGGCCAGTATCCCAGCAGTGATATTGTGTCCTTCTGTGAGCATCAGCGCATGATGAAAATTTGTTGTTATAATTGGTGTTAATTTGATTCGCTTAGTTAAATAGTTCTCTGAGAATTTTTTTCCACCGTAGAGTTATTTTTCTCTTTATTATTGAGTACCCTGGGGACATTTACCAGCTGATGTGCACAAAGCATCACATGTAATCTGGAAGTTCTCTTTTCTTCTTAGATTGTCTTTGCATATGTCTTTCTTTTAAAAGTGAAGTCCCTCATCTTTGTTTACTGGTCATAAAAACCCAGGCTCTGTCACTTAATGAATGTTTGGCAAAATGTTTATCTTGGGCCAGAAAGATTGGTGCCACTTGTGAGCTTGTTAGAAATTCAGAAACTCAGGTTTTACCTCAGGTTTCTTGAAACAAAATCTGCATAAAATGATCTCCAGTTTATGGTTGTACACATTAAAATTTGAGAGGTACTTTATAACTAAGCCTGAGTTTTTAATCTGAGAAATATGTAGAACTTATACTGTATGATTAAATGGAGCACTCAAAAATGTACATGTCTATGTTCCTGTTGTTAATTTTGTACTTTATCATTCAAAAAATATCATCAATACACTACACTGGTATTGTGAATCTTATGCTCTCTTTTCTCAGAGATAGAGAATACAACAGAGAATATTTCTTTGTTGGGAATTATTTTATAGGACAATTTCAGTCGTATCAGTCAGAATCAGTTCTCTTCACTCATTTTATCTTGAGTCAACTTAAGAATTCTGCCCATGGCCACTTGAAGTGGGTGTGGGTGTGTTTTCAGGGACTGTTGACATTCAGGGATGTAGCCATAGAATTCTGTCTGGAGGAGTGTCAATACCTGGATGCTGCTCAGCAGAATTTGTATATGGATGTGATGTTACAGAACTACAGAAACCCGGTCTTCTTGGTTGAGGATAACTTCAATATAGAATTCCTAATTTACCCTAAAGGTTTCATTTTCTTCCTTTGTAGGATGTGTTTTGGTAATTTCTGCTTTGCATGAGTAAATTTCAGATCCCTGTTTTCAAGACAATCTTGAGGATTTTTTGGTGTGGAAAATAAATTCTTCAGGTCGTTTCATTTTGACCTGAATTTTCCCCTTTCCTGAGTTTATCTATATTATTCACCCTAGATAAGTGGTAATTTCAGAAATTTAGCAGCATAAAATAATGTTGTCCACACCTTAAAATTCAATTGCCACCACCAATTTTTGATTCAGTAATACTGGGGAGTGAAACGGAGGACCCACATATTTAATGTACTTTCTGAATACGCTAAAGGTTCTGTCAGTAAAAAGTATTTTGGAATTAATTTTCTAGAATCTTCTATTATGTCCTCTTTTCTCTACTTAGAACAGTATTAGGTTGGTAAATGGAGAATTCCAGGAAAAGTCATGCTCATGCTGCTTTTTAAAATAAAACAAGTATTGTCTTCTCTAAGCCAGACTTGGTCACCTGTCTGGAGCAAAGGAAAAAGCCATGGAGTATGAAGCACCCAGGTGGGTGAAAGCCAATGAAGAAGAGGATGACATAGATGAGACATCCAAAGGCCGAGAGGAACCCGGACTTTTACATGTGATTTGGGAAGCTGTGCTCCAGTGGAAATCGTTTCTGAGAAGACTGGGTTTTTTCACTTGTTCTCACATAGGGACATCCTCTGTCTCATGCTCTCTAATGACTCTACATTTTCTTCAATAATTTTTCTTCAGATTTGCAGTGAGAGCCAAAGTTCTCTTTATGGCTTATAAAAGAGTGCACAATCTGACTACTTTTATTGCTTTTGGGGATATACAAATAGCTGCATATTTTTTAGAAACCCTGTGTTTAACCATTTTTAAGTTCTCTTTCTGCATTGTGTCTGAAATATGTAAAAGTAGTGATATTGAGACTTGGTTCAGAAATCCCAGAAATACAACAAACATATGTTGTATGTTTTCTGCTTCATAGTTTCTTATTTTATGGAGGTTTCAAATGTGTTTCTACAGAAATTCATGCTCGGTAATTTAATCAGAATATTAAGTATCTCTTTAAGAATATCTAATGTTATTTGAATTGAAATTTTTATTCTTGTAGTACTAACTGAGGTTAGTAATTTCAATTCTGTCTTAATTTCTCAACTGTAATATAACGTAGATATTTCCTACATTTCTTCAATTCACTATGTCAGGGAACTTAGAACATTACTGAGCATATGTTAAGCTCCCACTTCTTTCCTTGTTTTTTAAATTACTATTTTGTAATTTTATCTTGTTTAGGATAAAGTCTACCAGAACTGTAATTTATATGTGTGTACATATATGTAGGTGTGTATTGTGGATTTTTTTACAAATAAAAATTCTATATATATTTATTGTGTACAACGTAATGACTTACTGCATGTGTAGATTGTAAAATGATGAACACAATTATGTTTATGAGCATTTCTATCACCTTTCCTCACATAGGTACCTTTCTTGTAATGAAAATATCTGAGATCTGCTGACATCAAATTTTAAGCATACAAAAATTTAGTGTTAACTGTATCATGAAGCTATATATTACATTTGAAAAACTTACTCATAAAAGAAAATTTGTGTCTTTTCAACATCTTTTCATTTTCTCCCATATCCAGTCCCTGACAACTTCCATTGTAGTCTCTGCTTCTGTGAGTTCAGCTTTCTTAGATTCCCCATATAAGTGAGAATGTGCAGTATTTCTCTTTCTGTGTCTGGCTTATTTCCCTTGGCATAATGTCTTCTAGTTCTACCCATGTTGTTGAAATGGCAAGATTTTGTTATTTTTCAAGCTAAATGATATTCTATTGTTTATTTACACCAGCTTTTCTTTATTCAGCATCCACAAACATTTAGTTTTTTTGTATCTTGGCAATTGTGAATAATGCTGCAACAAATATGGTGGTACAGATATGTCTTCAAGTTACTTATTTCATTTCCTTTTGTTATATAAACAGTATTATATACACAATACTACTATTGCTAGGTTGTGTAGTAGTTCTGTATTTCAGATAACCTCTATTGGTTTTTGTAATGACTCCATCAATTTATAACTCTCCAAGAATGTACAGAATTTTTTTTCTTCAAAGTGTTGTCAACACTTGTTATGTTTCTTCTTTTTATATTATCCATTCTAACATGTTTGAAATGATACTCATCATGGTTTTGATTTGCAATTGCCTGATATTTGGTGATATTGAGTACTTTATGGCTTATCTGTTGGCCATTTGTATGTCTTCATTGGACAAATATCAGTTTAGTTTTTTGCCTATTTTGAACTGGGTTACTGTTGTTTTTCCTTTTAATCTGCTTGCATTTCTTATATATTTTGTATATCAATCTTTTATCAGATGTATGGTTTGCAAATATTTTTTCCCATGCTACAAATTTTTTTATTTTATTCTTCCCTTTTCTGTGCAGAAGGTTTTTAGTTTGATGCAGTCCAGCTTGTTTATATTTGCTTTCGTTGCTGTACTTTTGGTATTATGTCTAACAAATTATTGTTAAGACCATATCATGAGGATTTTCCATGTATTTTTCTTTCAGATTTTTTAAGGATTCATATTTAAGTCTGTAATTTAACTTTTAGCATGGTGTAAGAAAAATAAGTTAATTTTATTCTTTTGCCTGGAGGTATCCAGTTTTTTCAGAACCAAATATTAAAAAGACTATACATTGTTCATTGTGTATTTCTGGTGCACTTGTCAAAGATTAGTAAACTTTATATTCCTGGGTTTGTTTCTGGGCTCTATTCTGTTTCTTTGTTTTCTTGTGTCCATATTTTGCATGTACTACAATCTTAAAATATAGTTTGAAATCATAAAGTATGAAGTTTGGTTGCTTTGTTCCTTTTCCTCTAGATTGCTTTGGTTTTTCAAAGCCTATTGTACTTTCATGCAAATTTTAGAATTGTAGTTTCCATTACCGTGAAAAATGTCGCTGGATTTTTAATAGAGAGTTCATTGAAACTGTAGATCACTTTGACTCATATGGCACTTTATAATATTTATTCTTCCAGTTCATAAACATGAAATCTTTTTGCGTTTATTTGTGACTTCTTCCATTTCTTTCACAATATGTTTCAGTGTAAAGACATTTTGCCTCCTTTGTTAAATTCATTTTTCAGAAATTTATTATTTTAATTCTATTGGAAATAAGATTGTTTTCTTCCTTTTTTATCAGATGGTTTGTTGTTAGCATATAGAATCATAACTGATAATTATATGTTAATTTTATATATTGCTAATTTTCTGAGGGCATTTGTTAGTTTTTGATGTATTGTTTATGGTTTTCTATATATAAGATCATGTCACCTACAAACAGCAACATTTTAATTCTTTTCCTCAATTTGAATGTCATTTTTAGGGTCATTTTCTTGACTAATTCTTCTGCAAAGTACTTTCACTGCTATGTTAAAATAGAAACATTTACAATGGAACCATGTAGCCTTACCCCGGTGTCTATAAATTTGAAGAAGCAAACAGCTCTTTAATTTTTTATAAACTGGTTTCAGGAGGTACAGATCTCCTTTTGTTGGGTCCCCAGGGTAATGGGTCCCCAGGGTAATGGGATGCCCTATGAGCTTGTAGTAGGGAAGAGTTTATAACTTTGTCACAAGGCTGCTGGGTATGCAGTGGATTCAACTTTCAAGTGGCTTTTTACCAGGGGCTTTGGTTGTTGTGATTCCCATCTAATGTCTGGGTGGGCTGGATTTCCTTCAGGACTTTTATTTATAGTGCAGAAATTAGGACAGATTTCTGCAATTGGGTGTGCATATGGTGGACCTTATATCGGGATGTGGTAAGTGTGGCTACCACTGAGTATTTGAAAGATTTTTTCCACATCACTGTGTGGGTTCCTGTGTTGGCAGGAATTGTTGTGAACTGTGGCAAAGACAGCTGAAACTGAGTCACTGAACTCCTTTAGGGGCCACAGTAGAGGCCAAGGTCTGCAGGCCACAGTAGAGGCCCAGCTGGAGTGCAGTGGCACAATCTTTGCTCATTGCAACCTCCGCTTCTCAGGTTCAAGCAATTCTCCTGCCTTGGCCTCCTGAGTAGCTGGGATTATAGGTGCCTGTCACCATGCCCAGCTAATTTTTTTGTATTTTTAGTAGAGATGGGGTTTCACCATATGGGCCAGGGTGATCTCTACCTCCTGACCTCAGGTGATCCACCTGTCTCGGCCTCCCAAAGTTCTGAGATTACAGGAGTGAGCCACCATGCCCAGCCTTCTTGGCTGATTTTCAATAGTTGTCTTATTATGTGAAGGTGGGTAGTCATAGAAACAGTGGTATATTCACCAGGTGTTTAATGATAAATATATATATTTTCTTTCTGTGAGAGAAACACTTTAGTGATTTGATGGTGATTTATATTTATATATTTTGTGATTTATAGAAAGACCTATATAACTTGTAGTTGTTTTCAAAAAAAATTGTGAAAACACATAACATAAAATTTACCATCTTAAATCTTTTTAAGTCTATATTTCAGAGCTGAGTGTGGTGGAGGCTCATGCCTATAATGCCCGCACTTTGGGAAACTGAGGCAGAAGTATTGCTTAAACCGAGGAACTTGAGACCAGCCTGTGCAGCATATAAAGAGCCCTTCCCCACAAAAATTTAAAATTAGCCAGGTGTTGGGTTGTCCACCTGTGGTCCTAGCTCCTTGTGAGGCCGTGGCAGGAGAATCACTTGTGCATGGGAGGTTGAGGCTGCAGTGAGCTATGATTATGTGACTTCATTCTAGCCTGCAAGACAGAGTGAGAACCTACCTCAAAAAAGTTGTACATTGTAGTTGTTAAGAGTATTTACATTGTTATGTAAAGACCTCTAGAACTTTTACGTCTTCTAAAATTAAAACAATACCCATTAAGTAACAACTGCCCATTTTACCCTCTCTTTAGACCTTGAGTAACACCATTCTCTTTTCTGTTTCTATTTCACTACTTATGATGACTCATATCATGGAATCATATAGTATCTGTCACTTTATTACTATCTTATTTCAGTTGACATAATATTCTCAACATTTATTTAAGAATGTGACAGATTTACTATTTTAAGGCTTAATAATATTACACTGTATGTATATGTCACATTTTTAATTTGTTTATCAGTCAAGGGATATCTGGGTTACTTCTGCCTTCTGGTTTTTGTAAATATTGGTATATTTATATATATAGTATATATATAAATATATGTGTATATATTTATATAATATATTGGTATAATAAATATATGATACCAATATTTATATATTTAACATATATATTAAATATATATTTATTTATATAATATATATTTATTTATTTAATATATATTATATTAGTATATATAAAATATATAAATATTGGTATAATATAGTTAATATGTATTATATTAATATATATTAAATATATAAATATTGGTATCATATATTTATTATACCAATATTTCAAATATATATTCAAGTATATCTTCCAGGTTCTTTGTTTGAATATAGATTTGTATTTGGAATATACATTTATATTTATGTTTGAATATAGATTTATAAGTGGAATTCTTGGATTCAATTTATAAATATATTAATATATAAAAATATATTTTATATTCCAATCAAATAATATGATTTATATTTGAATATAGGTTTATAAATGGAATTCCTGAATTATGTAATTTAATTTTTAAGAAACATTCATAATATGATGGTTGCATCCTTTTTTCCCCCACCAACCATTCACAAGAGTTTTAATTTCTTTACATCCTCAACAGATTTGGCATTTTAAAAATTTATCATGGCCATTCTAATGGGTATGAGGTGGTTTTGTTTTGGATTGTAATTTTGTTTTGTATTTCTCTACAATTGGTACTTTTTTTGCATTATTTTAAGTGCTTTTTTCTACTTACATATATATTTTTTATTAAACATCAGTTCTATTCTTTGTGCATTTCTAAATCAATTTATTCAATGTTAGTTGTTCAATTTTAGTTGTTTATAATTCTGAATATTAACTCATCACATGTAATTTGTGAATATTTTCACCCATTTCTTCAGTGGCATTGTCATTCTACTAAATATTTTCTTTGGTGTGCAGAAAACTTGAAGTTTAGCATAGTTAAATTTTGGGGGTTTTTATGTTTTTCATAAGTATGATGTCATATCTACAAAAAATTGCCAAAACCAGTGTTCTGTATTTTCCCTATTTTTTCTTCTAAGAGTTGTATTAGTTATATGTTTTTTAGTTTCATTATTTTACTTAAAATGTGGAAGAAAATAATCCAACTTTATTTTTTTCAGTGTAGATACTCAGTTTTTAACATCATTTGTTGAAGAGATTTTTCTTTTCTCTATTGTGTAGTCATGGCAACTTTGTGGAAGATTATTTGATTATATAAAGAAGGGTTCATTTCTGGGCTATTTTGTTCTATCATCTGTTTATTTGTCTCTGTTAGTACCACATTGCTTTTGTTTATTATAGCTTTTTAATATATTTTGAAATCAGGGAATACAATGCCTCTTTGTTCTTTCTAATGGTTGTTTGGCTAGTTTTAGCTCATAATCAATTTAAAAAGTTTTAAACAATATTTCTGGTCAACAATGTACCATTGGAATTTCTTCATCACCGTGAGTTGTTTTCACATTTAGATTAAATTATCTGGACCTTGAGCAAGAATATATTAAAGAGTGTGTTTTATTTCCATGTATTTTTGAATTTGCCAGTTTATCTCTTGATTTTGATGTCCTTTCATTTTATTTTAGTCAGAAAACGTAACTGTAAAAGTTTGGTCATCTTAAATTTATTTATTTATTTTTGTTGCTATTGAGAGACAGATTCTCTCTGTGCCACTCAGGCTGGAATGCAGTGGTACAGTCTTGGCTCACTGCAGCCTCAACCTCCGAGGCTCAAATAATCCTCCCACCTCAGCATCCTAAATAGTTGGGACTACATACGTGTGCTTTCATGCCTGGCTAGTTTTTTTATTTTTTGTAGAAATGCGGGTTCTCACTATATTGCCCAGGCTGGTTTTGAAATCCTAGTCTCAAGTGGTCTTTCCTCCCAAAGTGCTGGGGGCTACAGGCATGTGCTACCACACCTGGCTGGTCTTCTTAAACTTAATAAGACTTGTTATGTGTCCTAACAGAATGCACCAAGCTCAAACAAGAATATTGTGTAATCTGTTCCTTTTTACTGGAGAGTCCTGTACATATTTTTAATGTGTAGTTGGTCTATGATATGATTTGGATGTTTGTACCCTTCAAATCTCATGTTGAAATGGGATTCCCAATGTAGGATGTGGATCCTTGTGTGGTGTGTTTGGGTCATGGGAGCAAATCTCTTGTAAATGACTTCACACCATCCCCTTGGTGACCAATGAGTTCTCACTCTGTTAATTCACATGAGAGCTGCGTGTTTAAAGAACCTGGCACTTTCTTTTCATGCTTGCTCCCTCTCTCCCTATGCAATATGTCTGGTTTCTCTGTGCCTTCACCATGATTGTAAGCTTACTTAGACCTTCACCAGATGCAGATGCTGGCACCACACTTGTGCATTGTGCATAACTATGAAGAAAATAAATCTTTTTTCTTTATAAATTACACAGTCTTAGGTACTTATTGCAATACAAAATGAATTAATATAATTTATAATGTCATCCAGGTTTTGTTCTCTTATTGATGTTTTATCTAACCTTTCACTTATTATTAAAGTGGGGTCTTAATGTCTGTAATTATTATGTTGCTATGTGTTTTTTGCTTCACTTCTGTCAATATTAGCTTTATACATTTTGGAACCCTGATCTTTTAAATAGATATAATAGTTATAGATTCCTGGTAAATGACCAATGTTACCATTATATAGTAACAATCTTTACCTCATGTTAGTTTTTGATTTACAGCGTATTTTGTCTAATATAATTATGACCACCTCACTTAATTGTGGATACTGTTTGCATGGAATATGTTTTTTCATTCTGTTTCTTTCAACCTATTTGAATCAAAGTTAAAGTGAGTCTCTTGAAATCCTGGTCTCAAGCAATCTTCCAGTCCTGGCCTCTCAAAGTGCTGGGGCTACAGACGTGAGCCACCATACCTGATTAGTCTTCTTAAACTTAATAAGGCTTGTTATGTGTCCTAACAGAGTACACCAAGTTCAAACAAGAATATTGTGTGATTTGTTGCATATTGTGTGATTTTGTTTGTTCTTATTCCATTCATCCATTTAATTTCTTATTATTAGTTTAATCAATTTACATTTAAAATGATTCCTTAGAGAAATGAAGCTACTATTACCATTTTGATTGTTATTATTTTCTGTGTTTCTTGTAGAGATGTTTTCCATAATTTCCTATTTTACTGTCTTAATTTTTGCTTTTTTGATTTTGTAGTGTTATGCTTTGTTTCCTTTCTCATTTTGTATTGCATACTTTCTATAAACTTGTAATTATCTAGGTAATTGGAGATTATGTAAAACATTTTAAAGTTATAACAATATTAGTATGTCATAACTTCAGTTGAATACAAAAACTATACCTCTTTACATGCCGTAGTGTTTTTTTGTTTGTTTGTTTTGTTTTGTTTTTGAGACGGAGACTTGCTCTGTCACACAGGCTGGAGTACAGTGGTGTGATCTCGGCTCACTGCAACCTCCGCCTCACAGGTTCAAGCAATGCTCTGCCTCAGCCTCCCAAGTAGCTGAGATTACAGGCACCCATCCCCACGACTGGTTAATTTTTCATATTTTTAGTAGAGACGGGGTTTCACCATCTTAGCCAAGCTGGTCTTGAACTCCTGACTTCATGATCCACCTATCTTGGCCTCCCAAAGTGCTGGGATTACAGGCATGAGCCATTGTGCCCAGGCTTACATCCTGTAGTTTTTTTATTATTACAAATATTATTTTATATTGTGTATCTATTAACAGATTTATGCAGATTTTTTTGTTGAAATTCTATAGTAGAATTTTAAGAGATTTTGCTTCATGATTATGGTAATAAACCATTGTATATGTGTTTATATATTTACATTTAACAGAAAGCTTTATAGTTTCATGTAGTTTTTTAAGGCTGTTCAGCACCATTATATTTTTCAACATATGGACACTTTTTGGCAAAAAAAAAAAAAAAAACAGCATCTCACTATGTTACTCAGGCTCATCTTGAACTCTTAGCCTCAACTAATCTGCCTGCCTTGGCCTCCCAAGACTCTGGGATTACAGACATGAGCCACTGGTGCCTGGCCACCATGTAGCATTTCTTGTGGGACCATGCCGGTGATGAGAAATGCCTTCACATTTTGTTTATTTTGTAAGTTCTTTATTGTTTCCTTATTTTTAGTTCCAGAATAATTCCAAATAATTTCAAAGCAAACAGTATTGATTGGTATTAGTTTTTCTTTTATCACATAAAAATTTGGAAAATTCTCATCCTCTTTTATCTTCAAATAACCCCTCTACTACTTTTTCCCTACATTCATCTTCTAAGATTTCTTTTCCAAATGTAGTAATCTACTTAATGGTGTTCAGTAAGTTTAACATTCCATGTTTTCATTTTGTTTTGCAATTTTATTTCATTTTACTTTATTTTATTTCATTTTTCTTGAGACAGAGTCTTGCTCTGTCGCCCAGACTGGAGTGCAGTGGCACAATCTCGGCTCACTGCAAGCTCCGCCTCCCAGGTTCACGCCATTCTCCTGCCTCAGCCTCCCTAGTAGCTGGGACTACAGGTGCCCGTCACCATGCCCAGCTAATTTTTTTGTATTTTTTAGTAGAGATGGGGTTTCACCGTGTTAGTCAGGATGGTGTCGATCTCCTGACCTCGTGATCCGCCTGCCTCAGCCTCCCAAAGTGCTGGGATTACAGGCTTGAGCCACCATGCCCAGCCAATTTTATTTCTTTTTTGTTTCATATTTTAGAGTATGCCACGTCACATCAGATAATTGTGTTTTTAGTTTTTTATTTTGTATGACAATTGTGAATGACAGTATTCAACTCTGTACACTTTAAGACAGCATGGAGCCAAAGTTACATATGAATCAGTCATATGTCTATTCCCAATATAATAATTTCTGTGTTTGTGTATACACATATTATTTCTGTATTGTTTATGACTTGTATGTTTGTGAGTGATCAATGGTCATTTTATCTGTGTAATCATAAAAATTCTCCTACTTCTAATATCTATTTAGGAATCTATTTTGGTGTGGGAGAAACACTTTTTTGATTTGAAGGTAATTTTAAAAACTGTCAATTTTGTCCTTTTTTAGGTATCATTACTGTTTATTTTTAATTATCAAGAACATAAAATTTAGAATCTTAATGTTAAAATATGTAGTGTATATTAATTATATTGACATTATTATATAATATATCTCTAGAATGTTTTTGTCTCACAAAACTAAAACTGAATACACATTAAACAACTACTCATTTCTCCCATTTTCTGGCCCTTTACAAACAATTCTGTTTTGCTGTTTTTGAGTCTAACTGCTTTAAATATCTCATGTAAGTGGATTCATACAGCATTTTTTGTGGCTGACATATGTTATTCTGCATAATTTCATGAAAGTTTGTTATGGTTGTTAGAATATTTCCTTTTTTTTTAGACGGAGTTTCGCCCTTGTTGCCCAGGCTGGAGTGCAGTGCAGCGATCTCAGCACACCACAATCTCCACCTCCCAAGTTCAAGCCATTCTCCTTCCTCAGCCTCCTGAGAGGAGGCTGGGATTACAGGCGTGCACCACCATGCCTGGCTAATTTTTGTAAGTAGAGATGGGGTTTTTCCATGTTGGTGAGGCTGGTCTCGAATTCCCAAACTCAGGTGATTCACCCACCTCGGCCTCCCAGTGTGCTGGGATTACAGGTGTGAACCAGTGTGCCTGGCTTGTATTTCCTGTTTTTAAACACTGAGTAATATTCCATTATTTTTATGTTTCAAATTATATTTATCCAGTAGTCTGGCAAGAAAAATATGCATTGCTTTCACCTATTGCCTGTCAATAACAATGCTGTAAAAATTATGGATGTGCAGCCAGGCGCGGTGGCTCGTGCCTGTAATCACAGCACTTTGGGAGGCCAAGGTGGGTGGATCATAAAGTCAGGAGATCGAGACCATCCTGGCTAACATGGTGAAACCCCATCTCCACTAAAAATACCAAAAAATTAGCCAAGCGTGGTGGCGGACACCTACAGTCCCAGCTACTTGGGAGGCTGAGGCAGGAGAATGGCATGAACCTGGGAGGCAGAGGTTGCAGTGAGCCTAGATTGTGCCACTGCACTCCAACCTGGGCAACAGAGCAAGTCTCCATCTAAAAAAAAAATTATAGATGTGCAAATAACTCTTCCTGTGATTATATGTGTGAGAGTTTATATTTATACTACATTCTCTTTATTTGGTCTAGTTCACTTTTTATAACCAAACCAAATGGTTTTAAGTCTATATAATGTGTTTTGAAATCAGGGAGTTGTGATGCCTCCAACATTGTTCCTCTCTTTGAGGATTATTGGGTGTTTCATTGTTTCTTAAAATTTCATATAATTTGGGGGTTGCTTTTTCTATTTCTGCTAAAATAAAATTAGATATTTGAAAGGGATTGCATTAAATCTGTAGATTACACTGAGCAGTATGGGCATCTTCACAATATTAATTATTTTACCCTTCGATCATGCTGAATATTAATTATTTTACCCTTTGAGCATGCTGAAGAGTGTGTTGTTTAATTTTCATGTATTTGTAAATTTTTTAGTTCTGTTTTTGTTGATTTCTACTCTCATTCCATTTTGGTCATAAAAAGTAATCTATCAATTTCAATTTTTAAAGATTTAGTAAGTTTTTATTTTTATCATGGCCTAACAGGCAGTTTATCAAAGAGAATGTATGTGAGCTACTGAGAATGGTTGTACCCTGCTATTTTTAAGGGGTGTTCTTTGTTAGGCATAATATTGTTTTATACTTCTTTCTTTGTATATTTTTTTTCTTTTTGAGATGGAGTCTTGCTCTGTCGCTGAGGCTGGATTGCAGTGCCGCAATCTCGACTCACTGCAAACCCCGCCTCCCTGGTTCAAGCAATTCTCCTGCCTTAGCCTCCTGAGTAGCTGGGATTACAGGCACCTGCTACCGCACCTGGTTATTTTTAGTAGAGATGAGGTTTTGCCATGTTGGCCAGGCTGGTCTCAAACTCCTTACCTCAGGTAATCTGTCTTCCTTGGCCTCCCAAAGTGCTGGAATTACAAGCATGAGCCACTTGTTCCCATCTGTACTGCTTTCAGTTTCTCTTTTCCTTTTTTTTTTTTTTTTTGAGACAGAGTCTTGCTCCCACCCAGGCTGGAGTACAGTGGTGCGATCTCGTCTCATTGCAAGCTCCGCCTCCTGGGTTCATGCCATTCTCCTGCTTCAGCCTCCTGAGTACCTGGGATTACAGGCACCTGGCACCACGCCCTGCTAATTTTTTGTATTTTTAGTAGAGACCGGATTTCATCATGTTAGCCATGATGGTCTCCATCTCCTGAACCCGTGATTGCCTGCCTTGGCCTCCCAAAGTGCTGGGATTACAGGCATGAGCCACTGTACCTGGCCCTCTTTTCCATTATTAATATTGCTTGTTTTATTGTTCATTGCAGAAATTGAAATTTTAAAATATCTTATTATAATTATATTGCTCTCTATTTGTTGCTTTAATTCTTTCAATTTTTGCTTTGTATTTTTGGAAACCTAATGTGAGAAATACACATACACACACAAACATATAAATATATGTATGTACATATTTGTCATACATTTTCAATAAATGATATCTTTATTATTGTTTAATGACCTTTTTTCTCTTGTGAATTTTGAGATAAAGTATATTTTATAAAATAAGAGATTGACTTACGATGTATTTTGTATGATACAATTTTGATCTCTTCTGCTGTCATTTGGTTAATGTTTGCCTAAAATGTCTTCTTCCACTTGCCACTTTCAGGCTGATTTCGCTACTAGATCTCAAGTGACTCTTGAAGAAAGGCAAGTTGGATCTTGGTATATAAAATTTTATATAATCCTTCTATTCAATGTATGTATATTGATTGGCAAGTCTATTTTTAAAATATTTATTTTCTGAAGACAAAGATTATTGTTATTTTATTGTTTAATGATTCTTGTAGGTCTGTTTCTCATTCTATCTTCCTTTGTGTCTTTTTGATTTTTGTAGGGATAGGCTGTCACTCCTTTCTTATTTTCTTTTTTGTACCTATACAGACATTTTCTTTGTGGGCACCTTCAGGATTATATAAAAACTTCTTAAAATTTGAACAATATATTTTGAAGTGGTGAAATTTAAATTCGGGTTCCTGCACAAATTATTTCTTATTACATCTGTCCTCAACTTAGTTATTGATGTCACTAAACATATCTATTTATATTATATATTTATTAACAGATGTTCATTATTATTTTTAGCTTTTATCTTTTAATTTTAGAGAATAATTAAATAAAACATTTTCTGGTATTATAGTAATGCTACAGGATATTTTTTCTATAATATTTGCATATCTTTATATCTTTCCTAGAAAGCTACCTATTTGTATATGATAGTTTTGTTTTTTAGCATCGTATAGTTTTAGTAGGAGGACTCTTCTCAGCATTTTTTGTAGGGCACATGTAGTGTTGATATAATTTTTCCACATTTGATTATCTTTAGAAGTCTTTCCTTTTTCTTCATGTTTGTAGCACAGTTTTGCTGGTTATATTATTCTTACATAGAAGCTATTTTTCATTTGGCACCTTGGCTATAGCACACAATTTCCTTCTGGCCTGCAAGGTTTTTGTTGAAAGAGTCACTGGTTATATCATAGAACCATAATTATGTATTTTCCAGCATTTGAGATTCTCTTCTTGCCTGTGACTTTGGGAACTTTGCTTTACAGGTCTTGTTATGGATCTGTGTGTTTCCTAGTTTTAGTATGTTGAGCTTCTTCATTTTTACAACCTTATTTTCTTACTTTTGAGAATTTCTCAGGTATTCTTAATTTTTTGAGACAGTGTCTTGCTCTGTCACCCAGGTTTGAGTACAGTGGCATGATTGCAGCTTACTGCAGCCTTGGATTCTCTAGGCTTATGTGATCCTCCTACCTCAGCCTCATGTTTACTGGGACCACAGGTGTGTGCCAATACACCTGACTAATTTTAATTTTTATAGAGAAGAAATATTGCCATGTTTCCCGGTTTAAACTTGAAATCCCTAGGTTCAAGTGATCTGCCTGCCTCAAACTCCCAAAGTGCTGGGACTACAGACATGAGCCACTACACCTGGCCTCAGTCATTATTTCTATTTCTATTTTCTACTTCCATAATCTCTATTATATTTTTCATCTTTTCCTTGATATTCTATTTTTTTTTTAATTTTATTTAGTTACCTGTGTTCCCATTTAGGTTAAATTTTTAAAATTAATGTGTACATCTTTATTTTCATGGTTGTTTTCTGACAGTTTTAAGTTTTTTTTTCTACTTAGGCCATGTCACTGTAATATTTTGTATGTATTGTACTCTTTGGTTGAGATTTGGACATTAACAAACAGCTACCTCTCACAATCTTTATAATGCAGTGTTGTCCTAACATAATCTGAAACCAGCTGTCTCAACTAGAGATTCTGGGAGCTTATCAAATTTGTTATGATGTGTCTTGTGTGGAATTTTGTGTTGATTATTCAGTTAAAGGGGTTTGTCTGTGTTTCTTAACAGTCTGTAATTACTTCCTATACATATTGCATGTCTGTGGTACTGTAGTTTGTGTCTGTAACATTTACCTTTGGTCTCAGCAGACTCAAGCTGTTATTTCAAAGTATACCATCATTTCTTTCAGCACATTTTGTCATTGGAGACAGAAACAAGTCTCTGTAAAAGTGCCCAGAAGCCAGAAGTAAAAATACATGAGCCAGTTTTTTCTTTTTCTATATTGAGGAAGATGGCAGGCCTTGCAATTTACTTCTAAAAGTGCCATGCTGCATTATGGAGGAAGAAAGGTGTTGGGCAAATGTAACAAACTTTTCTATCCATTCAGTATGGCTTGTGGCATTTTGCTCACCTGGTACACTGAACACACTGAACTCATTTCTAGATTTTCCATAAACACATTTTGGTCAGGACAGTTTTGTTATAAGTCTATAAAAGAATTAAGACCTGTGGTATTTTTCTTATGCCATGTTGCTAATGTACTTTGTTTAATTTTATGTATTAGATTTGTAAACAATAGATTTGTATATTTACATGGGCCTAGTGAGATAATTTGTTATTTTTATTTCTTTCAGCTGTGTTCTCATTTCACCCAAGACCTTTGGCTAGATCAGAACACAAAAAATTCATTTCAAAAAGTGATGCTGAGAAGATATGGGAAATGCAGACATGAGAATTTACAAATAAGAAAAGGCTGTAAAAGTTTGAATGCATCTAAGGTGCAGGAAGGAGGTTATAATGGACTTAACCAATGTTTGTCGATTACTCAGAGCAAAATACTTCAATGTAATACATGTGTGAAAGTCTTTAGGAAATTTTCAAATTCAAATAGACCTAGGAGAAGACATACTGGAGAGAAACCTTTCAAATGTAAAGAATGTGGCCAATTCTTTCACAGGTTCTCACGCCTAAGACAACATCAGATAATTCATACTGAAGAGAACCCCTACCAATGTGAAGAATGTGGCAAAGATTTTAAGCAGTCTTCAGATCTTACTATACATGAGAGAATTCATACTAAAGAGAGACCCTACAAGTGTGAAGAATGTGACAAAGCCTTTAAACAATCTTCAAAACTGAATAAACATAAGAAAATTTATACTGGAGATGCAACCTACAAAAGTGAAGAAAGTGGCAAAGTTTTGAAGTAGTCTTCAAACCCGACTATACATAAGATTATTCATATGGGAGAGCATCCCTACAAATGTGATGAATTTGGCAAAGCCTTTAGAAAATCCTCAAAACTGAAAGAACATAAAAGAAGTCATACTTGAGAGAAACCCTATAAATGTGAAGAATGTGTCAAAGCTTTTTACTATTCCTCAGGCCTTACTCAACATAACATAGTTCATACTGGAGACAAACCCTACAAATGTAAAGATTGTGGCAAAATTTTTAAGTGGTCTTCGAACCTTACTATACATCAGAGAATTCATAGTGGAGAGAAACCCTACAAATGTGAAGAATGTGGCAAAGCCTTTAAACAATCCTCAAAACTGAACGAATATATGAGAGCTCATACCGGAGAGAAATCCTACAAATGTGAAGAATGTGGCAAAACTTTTATGCAACCTTCAGGCCTTACTCTACATAAGAGAATTCATACTGGAGAGAATCCTTACAAATTCGAAGAATGTGATAAAGCCTTTTATTGGTTTTTAATCTTTACTAAACATATGATAATTCATAGGGGAGAGAAACCCTACAAATGTCAAGAATGTGGCAAAGCTTTTAAGTGGTCTTCAAACCTTACCATACGCAAGAGAATTCATACAGGAGAGAAACCCTGCAAATGCGAAGAATGTGGCAAAGCTTGTAGGCGGTCTTTGGGGCTTACTATACAAAAAAGAATTCATACTGAAGAGAAACCCTACAAATGTGAAGAATGTGGTAAAGCCTTTTACTGGTCCTTAAGCTTTACTAAACATAAGATAGTTCATACTGGAGAGAAGCACTACAAATGTCAAGAATGCATCAAATCTTTTAAGGGTCTTCAAATCTTACTATACATAAGAGAATTCATACTGGAGAGAAACCATACAATTGTGAAAAATGTGGCAAAGCCTTTTACTGTTCCTCAAACCTTATTCAAAACGACATAGTTCATACTGAAGAGAAACACTACAAATGTCAAGAATGTGGCAAAGCTTTTAAGAAGTCTTTAGACCTGAATGTACATAAGATAATTCATAGTGGAGAGAAACCCTACAGATATGAAGAATGTGGCAAAGTCTTTAAACTATCCTCAAAACTGAAAGAACATAAGATAACTCATAGTGGAGAGGAATCCTACAAATGTGAAGAATGTTGCAAAGACTTTTACTATTCCTCAAGCCTTACTAAGCATATGATAGTTCATACTGAAGAGAAACTGTACAAATGTGAAGAATGTGGCAAAGCTTTTAAGTGCTCCTCTGAGCTTACTATACATCAGAGAATTCGTACTAAAGAGAAACCCTATAAATGCAAAGAATGTGTCAGAGTCTTTAAACACTACTCAAAACTGAATGAACATAAGAGAAATCATACTGGAGAGAAAACCTACAAATATGAATCATGTGGCAAAGATTTTTAAGCAGTCTTCAGGCCTCACTTTACATAAGAGAATTCATACTGGAGAGGAATCCAGAAATGTGAAGAATGTCGCAAAGCCTTTTACTGGTCCTTAAGCTTTACTAAACATAAGAGAGTACATACTGGAGAGATACCCTACAAATGTCAAGAATGTGGCAAAACTTTTTCTTGTTGATCAAGTTTACTCGACATAAGAGAGTTCATACTGAAGAGAAATCCCACAAATGTAAAGAATGTGGGAAAGACTTTAACCAGTCCTTTAGCCTTACTAAACTCATGAGAATTCATACTGGAAAGAAGTCATACAAATTGGAAGACTGTGGCAAAATCTTTTAAGTATTGCTCAAATATATCCAGCCATAATTCATACTAAAGATTATGCCTATGAACCTAAAGAAGTTTGGCAAAGCTTATGAATACACCTCAAACTTTCCTAAGCATTGGAGAAATATCAGTGAGAAACCTCAGAAAACTGAACAATGTGGCAAGGCCTTTAAATGGTTGTCATATCTTACTGTAGGTAAAATAATTGATAGTGGAGAAAATCTCTGCAAACAAAGAATGTGTCAAAACTTCTAACATGCTCATACCTTATGGCACATAAAAGGGTTTATACTTGAAAAATTATACAGAGTGTGGAAAAGCCATTTCTATTTGCTCACATCATAGTCAACATCAGGAAGTTCATACTTAATAAAATTATTATAAATGTAATTACTTTTGAAAGACCTTGGAAAATTTAAATCTTTAAAGTAAAAAAGAGTACTCTGGAGACAAACATTACAAATATAAAGAGGGTTGTAATACCTTTACTTGCCATATATAATGTACAGATTTTATGCTAGAAGAAAACTCTAAAGGAATTACTCAAACTTGTTCAGCCTCAGAGAATTTATGTTGAAGGAAAACATACAAATGTAATAAATGTGGAAAAACATTTGTTCAGAAACTACAGCTTAAAAACACCACGCAGTTTATAATAAAAGATATTTTTGCAGATGGAATACATGTGTAAAAATATTTAGTCAAAATTAAGTCTTCGTAAACTTTAGAAAATTCACAGTAGGAAGAATTAAGGCACTGGCACTTAAGATGTTACACTAAATCAGAATGTTCCGTATAGAAAGTAATCCAAAGCTAAAACTGTTGGATAATTTATTTGTATATAAGTTTAAGAGGAGTGGAAGATTATTTTTTGTAGTGTTATACTTACATTCAAGGTATACGTTTTTCCTTGAAAAAAATGTAGATTTTTTGAAAAGCAAATAGTGAGGTAATTCAACTATAAAATTGCTTCATTCTGTTCCTTTTTTCCTGTTGTTTGTGTAAAAGCATGTCATCAATTTCTGTTGCATCAGAAATCTGAGAGATTCCTTTCTTATTAGGTAGGCATCATTCATTAACTTTTCCGTGGAAGAGTAAGGATATTAAAATGTAAGATGCATATTGAAAATCTAATTGGAGAGGCTTTTATGGCTGACTTTTAACATTTTTCATGTGATACATGAGTTATGTGTTTAGAGTAATATTCTGCATTATAGTGAGAGGAAAACTTTGAGTTTTAGTAGTAAATTGTTTTACCAATTGTACTTTTATGTAATAAAATGTAGGGAATTTTAAAATTCTTTTATAAGACTGTGATAACTTAGCTTTTAAATTAAACGAAATAGTTTTAAACCTTTTAAGACCTGCATATGTCACCAACTTTAACGTGTCCCACCTTATTAAAGATGTAGATAAAAGATGGTAACATAGTAGAATGACCTCTCTAGCAATCTCTTTTGCCTGTGACATTAAACTGAAAAGTTTAAGAGTATTGTTTCAATGGGTAAAATGTACATTTGTTTAACATTTTAAATTTTTGTAGGAACATAGTATTGTTTACCTATTTATGGCATATATAGAATATTTTCATACAGGCATACAACTTGTAATCACATCAGAGTAAATGAGGTATTCATTACGTAATGCTTTTTTTGTGTTACAGATAATCCAATTAAATATTTTTAGTTATTTAAAAATGTACAAGTAAATTATTACTTGCTACAGAGGTTTTTTATGGTCATAATAATAATTACATAGTAGTATAATAAGAAATCTCACGTTTCTAAGTCCTGAATGAATATTTTTAAAAATTGGTCATATATATTTTGAACAAGTGGCCTATCTGCCTGTAAACTCATACAGACTGTTAGTTTTTTACTTACATGATTCTAAATATACAAATATTTTACTCTTAAGATAAACATTAGGTGTAAGAAATTTGTGGGGCAAGACAAGAAATATTGGAACAAAATATCACTTTAATAAAGTGGACAAATCATTTATTAGAAGACCAGAAACCTCAGTGATTTTGAATAATATCTGTATTCTCTGTATTTTATTTAATTCATTACTGTGAAGTCTTATGGATTGCGTTTCCGAATCTTTCCATGCAAATTCTTTCTTTCATGTGCCTGGTACTCATGGTAGACTGACTTTTTTTCATATTTTTTGTGTTTATAATTTATTAAGTATTCATTATGTGAGTTGCTCAGGTATTTTAAGAATTTTTATAAAATTTACTAATGCATGCAAAATAATTTTTCAGTGTTATTTCACAATGTGTGTATTAACTTATATTTCTTTTGTTGCTTTCTTTTTTCTTTTTTTTTTTTTTAGATGGTGTCTCACACTGTCACCCAGGCTAGAGTGCAGTAGTGGGATCTCAGCTCACTACAACCCCGCCTGCTGGACCCAAGCAATTCTCTTGCCTCAGCCTCCTAAGTAGCTGGGACTACAGGCATGTGCCACCATGCCCAGCTAACATTTTTGTATTTTTAGTAGAGACTGTGTTTCACTATAATGGCCAGAGTGGCCTTGAACTCCTGACCTGGTGGTCCACCCACCTTGGCCTGCCAAGGTTCTGGGATTACAGACATGAGACACTGCATCCGACCAACTTATATTTCATTTAGTTAGAACATCCCATTTTGTTATTTTAATTGGAGAAACCTGTGTAAGCTACGTTTCCTTTATTATTGTTCCTTTTACCCTTTATAATTGACATAGGTGAATTTATTCATTCAGCCAATTTGTTTAGGTAAATACTGGGGAAGCTTCATAAGTCATAAAGATGTTTTGATATGTAAATATAGCAAACACAATGCTTGCTGTGTAATAGATGCACCATTATTGGCCACAAATATTTCTGCTGGAGTTAGTTTGTAGCTCCAAGTAAAAATAAAGAAACAAGCATGGTGAAGAAATAAAATCGATTCTGTATATGGAGAGGACACTGTCCTTATGCTGCAAAATTGATTCTTTCTGAATTTAAAGAGACATTCTGCTTATTTTCTGATTATCTTTAGTTTTCTTTGTGTGTCTACTTATGTTTATCCCAACTGTGTATGCATCACTGCCCTTCTTTTTATTCTTTGTGTTATGGCTACATCTTTATTCGCTGTTTGTTTTTTGCCATGTCACTTCACACAGAACTTTGTAGGTTCTGATGAAAGTTTGTCAATGTAACTTTCAGATCTGTTAATTGAGATAAAAGGCATGCAGTGTTCACAGGTGAGAGGAATAAATCAGTCAGAATTTCTTGTCTTTGCAAAACCAAACTTTTATTAAATTTTAACACAGTCTGTGTGTGGTGGCTCACAACTATAATCCCAGCACTTTGGGAGGCTGAGGTGGGAGAATCACTAGGTCAAGAAGTTGAGACCTTCCTGGCCAATATAGTGAAACCCCATCTCTACTAAAAATACAAAAATTAGCTGGGCATGGTGGCATGCACCTGTTGACCTAGCCATTCAGGAGGCTGAGGCAGGAGAATCACTTGAACCCAGGAGGCAGAGGTTGCAGTCAGCTGAGATTGCACAACTGCATTCCAGCCTGATGACAGAGCTAGACTTCATCTCAAAAAAAAAATTAACAATGTGTGGAAAATATAAAATTAGTTAGAAGATATGTCTTAGAAATTAAACTTTTAGAAGAGTTAATGGTAAGTGGAGAATGTTAAATTTAATTTTTTATTACATACTTACAGCTCAACTTAAGTTTTCATTCAGAATCTTTTATTTTGGTGTGAATGTTAAATATTCAAAAATAATAGAATGACACCTGTGGATTTCAGTTGTGAAATAATCTTTTTCATATTAATGTTAAAATCTTGAGGAATTTCTCACACTTGTATAATGTACTTTTTTATTGGGTACAGTTTACAATTTAAAGGTTTCCGTCTTTGTCACCTAACTAGTCAACTCTTTGGTCATTTTATCTGGAAAAATTTTAAAGATCATGGCATCTTTTGAGTTAAAAAATTTCTTCAGTGATCTGGGATGCAAACTTATTTACTCTCCTCAGAGTGGTTTAATCATGTGAAACACAGCAAGAGCTGCCCTTTTTGTGTCTTCCCTATCATTACCACCAGCACCAGAAACTCCAGTTGTCCCAAGCTCAAAATAAAAGCCCTAAGGTACATTGGCTTCTCCCATGCTCTGTGCTGGGTCCCGAACATGGTGGTAAATATTAGAGTTCATATGGTCATGACAGACTAGGTGACAAAACAGCACAGAAACTGTATCTTTCATACTATTTAGACAGGTTTATGACAAAAAACACAGGTCAGAATTTGAAACGTTGTCATTTTTAATAGTGTTTATAAATATATTTTTAAATTCACTGATGACATATGTATTTATTTTGTGAAATAGTATTTTGAAGTAAATATACATTGTCAATGTCTAATTTTAGGTAATTGTCAAATACTTTGCCTCACATAGTTATTATTTTTGTGGTGAGAAGACAACATTTACTGTCTTAGCATTTTTTCAGAAATACAATACATGCATTATAATCTCTTTAACTTATTTTTCTTATCCAAATATAATTATGTAATCAAGATACGTTTTGTAGAATCCACTTGTGAGTGAAATCATGAGATATTAAACTTTCTGTGCCTTATTTCAACAACTATAGTGTCCTTTAGGTTTATTTTTGTGATTAAAAATAACATTTTCTGTTGAAAATACAGTATTCGATTGTATATATATACCATAGTGTCTGTATTTCGTCATTGGATGATGGACACATATGTTGATTCTATGTTTTCACTTCTGTAAAGTATGCTGCAACAAACAGAATTGCAGATGTCTGTTCATCAATCTAGTTTCATTTGTGTTGTGATAGATATCCAGTAGTTCAATTACATGTTAGAGTTCAATTGTTTTGCAAAATTTCTATTTTTCATAATGGCTGTTTTTATTTACATTGACACAAACAGTGTGAAAGCTCCCTCTTTCTCTTTTTTCAAGTTTACCAACAATTTTTTTAAACATTTTAACAGGAGAGAGTTTATATCTTAGAGTTGTTTTGGTTTGCCTTTCCTTGATGATAATTGACTTTGAGCCATATTCATCTATCTGCCAAGCTATATGTATGTCTTTCTTTGAAAATTATTTATATAGATCTTTTGCTTATTTTTCAGGTTGTTTTTTGTTGTATAGTCCTTTGAGTTTCTTATATATTTTTGATATTAACTGCTTTTCACATATGTAATTTGCAAATATTTTCTTCCATTTTTCAGTTATGTCATTCTGCTGATTGTATCTGTTGGTGTGCAGCAGTTTCTTAATTGTAAGGAATCTAATTTGTCTATTTCCCCCTAAAATTTTGAGGTTAAACCCAAGAGTCACTGCCCAGACCAATGTTATGGGGCATTCATTCTCTATTTCCTCATCCTAGTTTTAGATTTTCAGGTCTCATATTTAAGTATCTAATTTGAGTTAATTTTTATATATGGTGTGAGATGAAGGTCTGATTTTATTATTTTGCATGTGGATATATATTTTCTCAACATCATTTATAAGAGAGACTGTTCTTTTTTTTAAAAAATTGTTATCTTTATTTAAAATCAGTTGTCTGTAAATACATGAATTTATTTCTGATCTTTCCCTTTTGCTCTGTTGGCCTTTGTGTCCATTTTTATGTAAGTAACACTCTGTTTTGATTACTGTAGCTTTGTTGGACATTTAAAAGTCAGGTAGAGTGATTCCTTCAGCATTTTATTTTTCATTTTTTGCTTGATTTTCTTAGCTATTAAGGCCTTTTGTGGGGCTATATACAATTTTAGATTTTTAAAAAACATTTATGTGAAGAATTTAACTGGTATTTTAATAGAAGTTGTATTATATCTGTATATCAGTTTTTGTAATGCTGATATTTAACAATATAATCATGCCCATTTATGAATTAGAAATATCTATTTGCTTGAATATCATTTATTTTCTTTTTTTTCCCAGATCTTCGTGTTTTTTTTTAGATTTTTTTTTTTTTTATTTTACTTTAAGCTTTAGTGTACATGTGCACAATGTGCAGGTTAGTTACATATGTATACATGTGCCATGCTGGTGCCCTGCACCCACTAACTCGTCATCTAGCATTAGGTATATCTCCCAATGCTATCCCTCCCCCCACCCCCACCCCATAACAGTCCCCAGAGGGGGATATTCCCCTTCCTGTTTCCTTGTGATCTCATTGTTCAATTCCCACCTATGATTGAGAATATGCGGTGTTTGGTTTTTTGTTCTTGCAATAGTTTACTGAGAATGATGATTTCCAATTTCATCCATGTCCCTACAAAGGACATGAACTCATCATTTTTTATGGCTGCATAGTATTCCATGGTGTATATGTGCCACATTTTCTTAATCCAGTCTATCGTTGTTGGACATTTGGTTTGGTTCCAAGTCTGTGCTATTGTGAATAATGCCACAATAAACATACGTGTGCATGTGTCTTTATAGCAGCATGATTTATAGTCCTTTGGGTATATATCCAGTAATGGGATGGCTGGGTCAAATGGTATTTCCAGCTCTGGATCCCTGAGGAATCGCCACACTGACTTCCACAATGGTTGAACTAGTTTCCAGACCCACCAACAGTGTAAAAGTGTTCCTATTTCTCCACATCCTCTCCAGCACCTGTTGTTTCCTGACTTTTTAATAATCGCCATTCCAACTGGTGTGAGATGGTATCTCATTGTGGTATTGATTTGCATTTCTGTGATGGCCAGTGATGATGAGCATTTTTTCATGGGTTTTTTGGGTGCATAAATGCCTTCTTTTGAGAAGTGCCTGTTCATGTCCTTCGCCCACATTTTGATGGGGTTGTTTGTTTTTTTCTTGTAAATTTGTTTTAGTTCATTGTAGATTCTGGATATTAGCCCTTTGTCAGATGAGTAGGTTGTGAAAATTTTCTCCCATTTTGTGGGTTGCCTGTTCACTCTGATGGTAGTTTCTTTTGCTGTGCAGAAGCTCTTTAGTTTCATTAGATCCCATTTGTCAATTTTGTCTTTTGTTGCCATTGCTTTTGGTGTTTTAGACATGAAGTCCTTGCCCATGCCTATGTCCTGAATGGTAATGCCTAGGTTTTCTTCTAGGGTTTTTATGGTTTTAGGTCTAACATTTAAGTCTTTAATCCATCTTGAATTGATTTTTGTATAAGGTGTAAGGAAGGGATCCAGTTTCAGCTCTCTACATATGGCTAGCCAGTTTTCCCAGCACCATTTATTAAATAGGGAATCTTTTCCCCATTGCTTGTTTTTCTCAGGTTTGTCAAAGATCAGATAGTTGTAGATATGCAGCGTTATTTCTGAGGGCTCTGTTCTGTTCCATTGATCTATATCTCTGTTTTGGTACCAGTACTGTGCTGTTTTGGTTACTGTAGCCGTGTAGTATAGTTTGAAGTCAGGTACCATCATGCCTCCAGCTTTGTTCTTTTGGCTTAGGATTGACTTGGTGATGTGGGCTCTTTTTTGGTTCCATATGAACTTTAAAGTAGTTTTTTCCAATTCTGTGAAGAAAGTCATTGGTAGCTTGATGGGGATGGCATTGAATCTATAAATTACCTTGGGCAGTATGGCCATTTTCACGATATTGATTCTTCCTACCCATGAGCATGGAATGTTCTTCCATTAGTTTGTATCCTCTTTTATTTCCTTGAGCAGTGGTTTGTAGTTCTCCTTGAAGAGGCCCTTCACATCCCCTTTAAGTTGGATTCCTAGGTATTTTATTCTCTTTGAAGCAATTGTGAATGGGAGTTGACTCATGATTTTGCTCTCTGTTTGTCTGTTGTTGGTGTATAAGAATGCTTGTGATTTTTGTACATTGATTTTGTATCCTGAGACTTTGCTGAAGTTTCTTATCAGCTTAAGGAGATTTTGGGCTGAGACGATGGGGTTTTCTAGATATACAATGATGTCGTCTGCAAACAGGGGCAATTTGACTTCCTCTTTTCCTAATTGAATACCCTTTGTTTCCTTCTCCTGCGTAATTGCCCTGGCCAGAACTTCCAACACTATGTTGAATAGGAGTGGTGATAGAGGGCATCAATGTCTTGTGCCAGTTTTCAAAGGGAATGCTTCTAGTTTTTGCCCATTCATTATGATCTTGGCTGTGGGTTTGTCATAGATAGCTCTTATTATTTTGAAATACGTCCCATCAATACCTAATTTATTGAGAGTTTTTAGCATAAAGGGTTGTTGAATTTTGTCAAGGCCTTTTCTGCATCTATTGAGATAATCATGTGGTTTTTGTCTTTGGTTCTGTTTATATGCTGGTTTACATTTATTAATTTGTGTATATTGAACCAGCCTTGCATCCCAGGGATGAAGCCCACTTGATCATGGTGGATAAGCTTTTTGATGTGCTGCTTGATTCGTTTTGCCGGTATTTTATTGAGGATTTTTGCATCAGTGTTCATCAAGGATATTGGTCTAAAATTCTCTTTTTTGGTTGTGTCTCTGGCCGGCTTTGGTATCAGAATGATGCTGGCCTCATAAAATGAGTTAGGAAGGATTCCCTCTTTTTCTATTGATTGGAATAGTTTCAGAAGGAATGGTACCAGTTCCTCCTTGTACCTCTGGTAGAATTCGGCTGTGAATCCATCTGGTCCTGGACTCTTTTTGGTTGGTAAGCTTTTGATTATTGCCACAATTTCAGATCCTGTTATTGGTCTATTCAGAGATTCAACTTCTTCCTGGTTTAGTCTTGGGAGAGGGTATGTGTCCAGGAATTTATCCCTTTCTTCTAGATTTTCTAGTTTATTTGTGTAGAGGTGATTGTAGCATTCTGTGATGGTAGTTTGTATTTCTGTGGGATCGGTGGTGATATCCCCTTTATCAGTTTTTATTGCATCTATTTGATTCTTCTCTCTTTTTTTCTTTATTAGTCTTGCTAGCGGTCTATCAATTTTGTTGATCCTTTCAAAAAACCAGCTCCTGGATTCATTAATTTTTTGAAGGGTTTTTTGTGTCTGTATTTCCTTCAGTTCTGCTCTGATTTTAGTTATTTCTTGCCTTCTGCTAGCTTTTGAATGTGTTTGCTCTTGTTTTTCTAGTTCTTTTAATTGTGATGTTAGGGTGTCAATTTTGGATCTTTCCTGCTTTCTCTTGTGGGCATTTAGTGCTATAAATTTCCCTCTACACACTGCTTTGACTGCATCCCGGAAATTCTGGTATGTTGTATCTTTGTTCTCATTGGTTTCAAAGAACATCTTTATTTCTGCCTTCATTTCGTTATGTACCCAGTAGTCATTCAGGAGCATGTTGTTCATTTTCCATGTAGTTGAGCGGTTTTGAGTGAGTTTCTTAATCCTGAGTTCTAGTTTGATTGCACTGTGGTCTGAGAGATACTTTGTTATAATTTCTGTTCTTTTACATTTGCTGAGGAGAGCTTTACTTCCAAGTATGTGGTCAATTTTGGAATAGGTGTGGTGTGGTGCTGAAAAACATGTATATTCTGTTGATTTGGGGTGGAGAGTTCTGTAGATGTCAATTAGGTCCGCTTGGTGCAGAGCTGAGTTCAATTCCTGGGTGTCCTTGTTGACTTTCTGTCTCGTTGATCTGTCTAATGTTGACAGTGGGGTGTTAAAGTCTCCCATTATTAATGTGTGGGAGTCTAAATCTCTTTGTAGGTCACTCAGGACTTGCTTTATGAATCTGGGTGCTCCTGTATTGTGTGCATATATATTTAAGATAGTTAGCTCTTCTTCTTGAATTGATCCCTTGACCATTATGTAATGGCCTTCTTTGTCTCTTTTGATCTTTGTTGGTTTAAAGTCTGTTTTACCAGAGACTAGGATTGCAACCCCTGCCTTTTTTTGTTTTCCATTTGCTTGGTAGATCTTCCTCCCTCCTTTTATTTTGAGCCTATGTGTGTCTCTGCACGTGAGATGGGTTTCCTGAATACAGCACACTGATGGGTCTTGACTCTTTGTCCAATTTGCCAGTCTGTGTCTCTTAATTGGAGCATTTAATCCATTCACATTTAAAGTTAATATTGTTATGTGTGAATTTGATCCTGTCATTATGATGTTAGCTCGTTATTTTGCTCGTTAGTTGATGTAGTTTCTTCCTAGTCTCGATGGTCTTTACATTTTGGCATGATATTGCAGTGGCTGGTACCTGTTGTTCCTTTCCATGTTTAGCGCTTCCTTCAGGAGCTCTTTTAGGGCAGGCCTGGTGGTGACAAAATCTCTCAGCATTTGCTTGTCTGTAAAGTATTTTATTTCTCCTTCACTTATGAAGCTTAGTTTGGCTGGATATGAAATTCTCTGTTGAAAATTGTTTTCTTTAAGAATATTGAATATTGGCCCCCACTGCCTTCTGACTTGTAGGGTTTCTGCCGAGAGATCCGCTGTTAGTCTGATGGGCTTCCCTTTGAGGGTAACCCGACCTTTCTCTCTGGCTGCCCTTAACATTTTTTCCTTCATTTCAACTTTGGTGAATCTGACAAGTATGTGTCTTGGAGTTGCTCTTCTCGAGGAGTGTGGTGTTCTCTGTATTTCCTGAATCTGAACGTTGGCCTGCCTTGCTAGATTGGGGAAGTTCTCCTGGATAATATCTTGCAGAGTGTTTTCCAACTTGGTTTCATTCTCCCCATCACTTTCAGGTACACCAATCAGACTTAGATTTGGTCTTTTCACATAGTCCCATATTTCTTGGAGGCTTTTCTCATTTCTTTTTATTCTTTTTTCTCTAAACTTCCCTTCTCACTTCATTTCATTCATTTCATCTTCCATCGCTGATACCCTTTCTTCCAGTTGATTGCATCGGCTCCTGAGGCTTCTGCATTCTTCACGTAGTTCTCGAGCCTTGGTTTTCAGCTTCATCAGCTCCTTTAAGCACTTCTCTGTATTCGTTATTCTAGTTTTACATTCTTCTAAATTTTTTTCAAAGTTTTCAACTTCTTTGCCTTTGGTTTGAATATCCTCCCATAGCTCGGAGTAATTTGATCATCTGAAGCCTTCTTCTCTCACCTCGTCAAAGTCATTCTCCATCCAGCTTTGTTCCGTTGGTGGTGAGGAACTGCGTTCCTTTGGAGGAGGAGAGGTGCTCTGCTTTTTAGAGTTTCCAGTTTTTCTGTTCTCTTTTTTCCCCATCTTTGTGGTTTTATCTACTTTTGGTCTTTGATGATGGTGATGTACAAATGGGTTTTTGATGTGGATGTCCTTTCTGTTAGTTTTCCTTCTACCAGACAGGACCCTCAGCTCCAGGTCTGTTCGAATACCCTGCCGTGTGAGGTGTCAGTGTGCCCCCGCTGGGGGGTGCCTCTCAGTTAGGCTGCTCGGGTGTCAGAGGTCAGGGACCCACTTGAGGAGGCAGTCTGCCCGTTCTCAGATCTCCAGCTGCATTCTGGGAGAACCACTGCTCTCTTCAAAGCTGTCAGACAGGGACATTTAAGTCTGCAGAGGTTACTGCTGTCTTTTTGTTTGTCTGTGCCCTGCCCCCAGAGGTGGAGCCTACAGAGGCAGGCAGGCCTCTTTGAGCTGTGATGGGTTCCACCCAGTTTGAGATTCTCAGCTGCTTTGTTTACCTAAGCAATCCTGGGCAATGGCGGGCGACGGTCCCACAACCTCGCTGCTGCCTTGCAGTTTAAACTCAGACTGTTGTGCTAGCAATCAGCGAGACTCCGTGGGTGTAGGACCCTCCAAGCCAGGTGCGGGATATAATCTCGTGGTGCACCGTTTTTTAAGCCGGTCGGAAAAGCGCAGTAATCGGGTGGGAGTGACCGGATTTTCCAGATGCCGTCTGTCACTCTTTCTTTGACTCGGAAAGGGAACTCCCTTACCCCTTGCGCTTCCCAAGTGAGGCAATGCGTCGCCCTGCTTCAGCTCGCGTATGGTGAGCACACCCACTGACCTGCACCCACTGTCTGGCACTCCCTAGTGAGATGAACCTGGTACCTCAGATGGAAATGCAGAAATCACCCGACTTCTGCGTCGCTGATGCTGGGAGCTGTAGACCGGAGCTGTTCCTATTCGGCCATCTTGGCTCCTCCGCCTGAATATTATTTATTTTCTAACTTTTTTTTTTAGATAATAATGTACAGATCTTTCGCCTTTTTGTTTACTTTCATTTCTAAGTATAGTTACTGCTGCAATTATTGTAGATGGGATTGTTTTTTGGTTTTATTTTCAGATACTTTATTGTTAGTGTATAGAAAGGTTACTGAATTTTTATGTTGATTTTGTATCCTGCATGTTTAATAAATTTGTTTATTCTAATAATTTTTTGTGAACTCCTAGGTTTTTCTGTACTTAAGTTTATATCATCTGCAAGGAAAATATAATTTATCTTCTTCATTTTTTTTAAGATTGCTTTGACTTTATTGAAAAATTTTTCTGTCTTCGTCATTTTGTATTATGTTCAGTAAGATCAAAGGAATTGGGCTGGGCTTGGTGGCTCACACCTGTAATCCCAGCACTGTGGGAGGCAGAGGTGGATGCATCACGAAGTCAGGAGACCAAGACCATCTTGGCTAACAAGGTGAAACCCTGTCTCTACTAAAAATACAAAAATTAGCTAGGCGTGGTGGCAGGTACCTGTCGTCCCAGCTACTCAGGAGGCTGAGGCAGGAGAATGGTGTAAACCTGAGAGGCAGAGCTTGCAGTGATCCAAAATTGCACTACTGCACTCCAGCCTAGGCAACAGAGCGAGACTCCATCTCAAAAAAAAAAAAAAAAAGGATTGGAGAAATTAGACATCCTTGGCTTGTTCTAGCTCTTAGAGAAAAGGCTTACAGTTTTTCCTTATTTAGTATGTTAGGTGTGCATTGTTGTTACACATGACATTACCTTGAGTTGCATTCATTTTATAACTAGTTCAAGAGTTTTATTATGAGGAGATATTGAATTTTGTTACACTTTCATTATACATCTATTTGAATGTTACATTTGTGACAACCAATCCCACAAAAATACAAAAGATACTTGCAGACTACTATAAATATCTCTGTGCACACCAACTAGAAAGTCTAGAGGAAATGAATAAACTCTTAGAAATATACAACCTCCCAAGATTGAATCAGGAATAAACAGAAGTCTTGAAGAAATCAAAAACGTGTAAGCAAATTGAATTGGTGATAAAAAATATCTACCAATTATAAAAAGTGCTGAACCAGATACATTCACAGCATGATTTTATCACATATACAAAAATTAGTTGGTTGTAATTCTACAGAAAGTATTCCAAAAAATCAAAGTGGGACTCCTTCCTAATTAATTCTATCATATAATATCAGTCTCATCTTGATATATTAATCAAGTAAAGACACAACAAAAAAAATTACAGGCCAATATCCCTGATGAATACACACACAAAAATTATTCATTAAATGCTTGCAAACTGAGTCAGGAAATCAAAGTTATTTCACTGCAACTATGTGGACATTATTCTGTGAATGCAGGAATGTTTTAACATGCGCAATCTATAAATGTGATTCAACGTATAAAAATAATTCAAAAACAAAACCACATTACCTCAATAGATGTGGAAATAGCAATTAATAAAATGTAATATCTATTTATGTAAAAAATTCTCAAAAAACTAGGCATTGAAAGAACATACCTCAAAATAATAACAGCCATATAAGGCAAATCCTCAGCCAACATCATACTGAACAGGTGAAAGATTAATGAATCCTTCCTAAAAATTGAAATAAGAAAAGAATGTGCACTTTCACCACTCCTATTCAACATAGTTCTGAAAGTTTTAGCCAGAACAATCAGGCAAGATAAAGAAGGAAAAATCACTCAAATAAGAAAAGAGGAAATCAACTTATCTGTCTTTACTGATGATATAATTTTCTACCCACTTCAAAGACTCCTCCAAAAGACTCCTAAGCCTAATAAAAGACTTCAGCAAAATCTCAGCAACAACAACAAAAAGCAAAACAGCATTCAAAATGAGGAACATTTCTATACACCAGTAACACTTAAGCAGAGCAAAATTAAGAACACAATCCAGTTTACAATAGCCAGAAACAAAAAATAAAATAGTGATCCATTAAACAAAGGAGGTTAAATATCTCTACTAGAAGAACTACAAACCACTACTGAAAGAAATCAGACACAGTGCAAATAAATGGAATTGTATTTCATGCTAATGGATTAGAATTGTTAAAAAATTCATACTGCCCAAACAATCGACAGTTTATTTCTATTTCTATCACTCTACCAATGCCATTTTTTATAAAATTAGACAAAAAAAACTATTGTAAAATTTATATGAAAACAAAAAAGCTCAAATAGCCAAGGCTATACTGAACAAAAAGAATAAACCTGGATACGTTATGTTACCAAACTTCAAACTTTACCACAAGCTATGGTAACCAATATAATATGGATGCAGATACACACACGTACACATCCCTATTGAACAGAAGAGAGAGCCTTGAAATGAAGCTGAACTCTTACAATTAATTAATTTTTGACAGCATCAACAGAAACAAATGGAAAGAACTCCCTACCCAATAAAAGGTGCTGGAAAAACTGGTTAGTCATATGCAGAAGAGGAAAACTCGACTGCTACTTCTCATGATATAGAAAATTAACTCAAGATACATTAAAGACTTATCTGTAAGATTTCAACCTATAAAAATCCTAGAAGAACACCTAGAAAATTCTCTCCTTGGCATTGGTCTCTGTAAAGAATTAATGACTACATCCTCAAAAGTGAAAGCAACAAAAAAAAATTAAAAATTGTGACCTGCACAGCAAGAGAAACTATTAACAAAATAAACAGATGACCTACAGTATGAGCTAAAATATGTGTAAACTGCATACAACAAATAACTAATATATATGTTTTATAAAGAATTTAAGAAAAAATGTTGACAAAAAATGTGAACATATATTTTTAAAAGACAAAAAAAGCAGCCATCAAATATATGAAAAATTGATCAACATTTCTAATGATTAGAGAGACGTAAATCCAAACCACAATGTGATACCATCTCACCCCAGTCTAAATGAACTATTATTAAAAAGTAAAAAAAACGGATGTTAAAATTGTGTAGAAAAGAGAAGCCTGATATGCTCTTAGTGGGAATGCAAATTAGTTCAGCTCCTGTAGAATGCATTTTGGGGATTTCTCAAAGGACTAAAACTAAAGTTACCATTTGACCCAGCAGCCTCACTACGGGACATATACCCAAACACAAATAAATTTTTCTACCAAAAAGACACCTGCACTCATATGTTTATTGCAGCACTAGTCACAATAGCAAAAACGTGGAATGAAACCATGTGCTCATAAATCTTAAGATGGATTTTAAAAATTAGGTAATTACACACCATCCAATACTATGCAGCCACTGAAGAAGAATCATGTAATACTCTTTGCAGCAACATGGGTGCAACTCAAGTTCATGATCCTAAGCAAATTAACACAGAACAGAAAACCAAATACTACATTTTCTCACTTATAATTGGAAGCTAAACATTGGGTACACATGGAAGCAAAGATGAGAACAATAAACACAAAGGATTCCAAAATGGAGGGAGAAGGGGTACAAGGGTTAAAAAGTACTTATCATGTATAATGTACACTACCTGGGCAATGGGATTATTAATTGTCCGAACCTCAACGTCATGCAGTATACCTATGTTACAAATCTGCACATGTATCCTTGAACCCAAAATAAAAATAATAAAGTACTTTGTGATATAATGCCATGTTAGATTTCTCCAGTTTTGGTTAATGGTTGGAATTAAGGGTGGAAGACATAGAATTTTGTCCCCTTTAGACATAGGGGTGAATGTTTCTATAACAGGTCTCCTGACAGCCTATAAGCTATTTTCTCTGAAAGCTCTTGGCCTTAGTCTTGAGTGTGCAGCTAAAATAAATGACTGTACGTGAAGCTTGTCCAACTCATGACCTACAGGCTGCATGTGGCCCAATATGGCTTTCAGTGCAGCCCTAAACAAATTCATAAACTTTCTAAAAGCATTATGAGTTTTTTGTGATTTTTTTAATCATCATTGGTGTATTTTATGTATGGCTCAAGACAATTCTTCTAGTGTGTCCTAGGGAAGCCAAAAAATTGGACACCACTGCTCTACATCTTCATTTTTCATCTATTTACAGTATGCTAGATGATAGTGTTAATTTATTAGTCTACTCCTTTGGGAAACAAAGATGGTCAGTGGTTTAAGTTTTTTTAGAACCATTTTTGAAAATACGAAGCTATGGCAATCATACCTAAGTGACATAATTAGGAAATGACATTTCTAGAAAAAGCATGAAAGCTTTATGTTTAAAGCTCAAGAACAATGAAACGGGAGTATTGGTTATTTAAGACAACAGTCCTGCAAAGGCAATCATTGCATCACAACCATTTTGGTGAAAAAGAATAATGTGTCAGAAGGAATTTTTAGAATAATTTTCTGATTATATGGAAGTGTTAAATTTTTATTTGTATTATTTATCATATATAAGTCTGTAAATAAAAGAAAAGATGGCATGACTTTCAGTTGAATCTTTTCACACATATATTCTCCCTAGAAGGGCAGTGGTGTGTTTTTCAAAAGGGGTAGCATTGCTGGCTTTCATTGTGCTGCTATGATTGTGTGCTAAATGAAGGCAGAAAGTGAAGCAGAGTCAACCAGGACGTTTCTAGTTTCTACATCCACATCATCTGAAATCTAGTGTTATGTCAACTAGAAATAATCCTGGGGCTAAGTATTTTAAAACTGAAAAAAATGCATTGACAAATATATTTTTTGTTTATTTTTATAGTTTATAAAAATTTATAGCTTCTGACTTATTATAAGTTAAAACCATTTGAACATGTAGATAACTAAAAGTTCCATCTTGATGATGGTATTAATATTTAATAACATGATTGTGAGCCACATTTGCCCCATTTGGCTTACTGAAAAGCAGTATTTTAAATGGAGAATAGGATTTCCATAATTCCAAGCATACAGATCTTTTAAGATAAGCACTATGCTTAGATTTGAATAGTTTGTGTTTGTAGTAACAGGAACTTTAATATTTTTTTCTAATAGGAGCAAAAAAAGCAATAAAAATAGGTAGTTATGATTAGTTCAAAAGAAACTTCACATATGGTCATTAAAGGAGTAGCTGGGGTTACAGGCATGTGTCACCACACCCAGCTAATTTTGTATTTTTAGTAGAGATGGGGTTTCACCAGGTTCATCAGGCTGATCTCGAATGCCTGACTTCAGGTGATCCCCCCACCCCGGCCTCCCAAAGTGCTGGGATTACAGGCGTGAGCCACCATGCATGGCCAGAAAAAGTATTCTTATGTTACTGTTTCTGAAACTTTCAGAAACCTTAGTCGACTCAATGGATGATGATGTACATGCAGAGCACAAATTATAAATAAAATAATAGGCTCCTTTTAGCTTTTAACATTAAAACTAAATATATGTCAAAAGTAAAATTAGTGGCTCTTTTAAGTCCTGAGAAGAATGTCAGTGTTAGAAAGCCTTTACCAAAGTATTTGTGTTAGGTTTAGTAATGAGTGCTTTGCAACAAAAATTAAGTTCATTTCTTTTTTATATCTTTTTTCTTTTTTTGTTATTTCTAGAAGTATATTAATTTTAAAATGTAAACTATGACTGTGTTAAATGCCTTCATTTATATGCGTTTTTGTTAATATTTTGCCTGACGGAGAAGATGAGTTTTTAAAAAAATTTTCTTGAATCAAGACCATTAATTAACATAGAGACAAAATAGTAATGAAAATCGACAATTATCTAGCTCCTAGTAATCCTTACCTGTCTCACTCAACATAAAGTCTACATCTTTGCATCTCTCTTAGTTATAAGGAAGTGGCATTTGATCAAATTGGTCAGCATGACATTGGGTAAAATGTAACAATGTTTTGGTCTGACAGTTGAACTGATTTATTACCAAAGAAGTTGATTTTTTTAGTATGTGATATTTTACTATTTTCTATTTATTTAGGGAAACTAAACTGACAAAGCATGAAATTAAAATTTTATTTCAAATGGAAAATGCTTAAACATGTATTATAGTAACTAAAGCTAAAAATATTTTTGGATTTTTAAATTAAAGAATATCTCAAGTGCTTCAAATTACCTTCCCCTGACAGCAGATTATATTTTACTTTATTGCTAAAATGGAGTTTGGCTGTCTTTTATGGCTGGATTCATCATTTTCATTCTATTTTTTTGTGCACTATTTGCATCATGCATTTCACATTTTAATAGTTGTGGTTCATGCGACATGATTTTCAAACAATTGTCCTATTGACATGGCAAGCCATCTGCTTAATCAGCAGTCTCTTTATTTTCAGTCTTTTCAAAGCCGCTTTGCCTGAAAAGCAAAGAGACAATTCAATCCAGTGTGCCAAGCTGGTCCCCTCCAGTGACCATCTATTCAAATTCACACAGGTGATCTTTTGGTGAAGGAAGGAAGGTGCACTTCAACAGCATTGTCACAGCAATGTGGAACAGATATTATAAAATACAAGATGAAACATTGTCTTCAAGGAAAAAAAGTTGATTTTTCTTATTCTGTGTACAAGAGTATCTGATGGTTGTAAGGTTGAGAATAAAGAGTAAAGTTGGGCCAGGCTCGGTGGCTCATGCCTATAATATCAGCACTTTGGGAGGCTGAGGGAGGCGAGGCGGATCACAAGGTCAGGAGACTGAGACCATCCTGGCTAACACGTTGAAAGCCTGTCTCTACTAAAAAATATAAAAAATTAGCCAGGAGTCATGGCAGGTGCCTGTAGTCCCAGCTACTTGGAAGGCTAAGGCAGGAGAATGGCATGAACCTGGGAGGCGGAGCTTGCAGTGAGCCGAGATTGCACCACTGCACTCCAGCCTCGGCAACAGAGTAAGACTCCATCTCAAAAAAAAAAAAAAGTAAAGTTAGAGAAAGAAAAAGCTTTACATTAGCAGTACCTTCTTGTTTGTCTAACACATCCTGAATGGTTTTGTCAAGTGTTAGGTTGCCATATCCATCATTTGTTAGACTCTCATAATCATTTTCTATCTTACCAGTGTAATTATGCAATTGACATCATCTGGAGTTGATGTCTTTGATTCTTAGGTTCTCAGACATAAAACTATTAAATTATTATTGATAAAAATATTAGGTTTTATTTGCCTGTTTTACTACAGAACATTTGATGCCAGTAAGCTTAAGTCCCTTGAACCTTTGAAAAAAATGCTTTAGCTTTTCCTGCTTGGAAAGTCAAATTTGGTCAAAAGTAAATATAACAACAAACTTGAATACAAATTATTTTTTAATTGAATCCCAAAAATTGAATAAAACAATACATTTGATATTTACTTGAGTATATGTCAGAAATACTCAAAAAATTCAAATAGATACAAATTTGAGACTGAGCTGAAACTTGAAAATTATACCTGCTTTCATGACAAATCATTTTGTGATCACATTAATTTTCAATTTAGCCATGTTTTATAGTAGACTTCAGTAAAAGTCAGCTGTGGTCCAAATGTAAATACTGACATATTAGAGAAGAAAATGTTGGTGATAAAGAATACAAAACAAATCATAATAGTACTTGCCTTGATTTGTTCCCAACCACCAACTCTGAGACCAAGATTTAACTGTTACATCAACATTGTCCACAGTGGAAAAAGGAGAATTTTAAAATCAAACACATCTGAGCTTGATTTGGGTCATTAGCTGTGTGTCCAGGATAAATTATTCCACAACCTTGAAGCTTTAATTTTTTTTTTTTTTTAGATGGATTCTTACTCTTGTCATCCAGGCTGGAGTGCAATGGTGCAATCTCAGGTCACTGCAACTTCCACCTCCCAGGTTCAAGCAATTCTCCTTCCTCAGCCTCCCAAGTAGCTGGGATTACAGATGCCTGCCACCATGCCTGGCTAATTTTTGTATTTTTAGTAGAGACGAGGTTTCACCATGTTGGCCAGGCTGGTCGCAAACTCCTGACCTCAGGTGGTCTGCCCACTTTGGCCTCCCAAAGTGCTGGGATAATAGGTGTGAGCCACTACACCCTGCCTTAATCTTTATTATTAATAGAATTACTATTTCTTCCAGGGCTGTTTTAATTCATACATTGTAGCTATAAGTATTTTTCATTAAAAGTCTTGTCTAAATACAGTAAATATTTGAAAATAAGATTATCATTTAAAAATATTTTATTGTAATTGTATACGTTCTGTTATATTTAATGTATTTTTTAAATGCTAATTTTTATTTGTTGTGGGAAGTCAGGGACCCCCAAATGGGGGGACCGGCTGAAGCCATGGCAGAAGAATGTGGACTGTGAAGATTTCATGGACATTTATTAGTTCCCCAAATTAATACTTTTATAATTTCCTATGCCTGTCTTTACTGCAATCTCTAAACACAAATTGTGAAGATTTCATGGACACTTATCACTTCCCCAGTCAATACGCTTGTAATTTCCTATGCCTATCTTTACTTTAATCTCTTAATCCTGTCAGCTGAGGAGGATGTATGTCACCTCAGGACCCTGTGATAATTGCATTAACCGCACAGGTTGTAGAGCATGTGTGTTTGAACAATATGAAATCTGGGCACCTTGAAAAAAGAACAGGATAACAGCAATTGTTCAGGGAATAAGAGAGATAACCTTAGACTCTGACGGCTGGTGATCCAGGTGTAACAGAGCCATATTTCTCTTCTTTGAAAAGCAAATGGGAGAAATATCACTGAATTCTTTTTCTCAGCAAGGAACATCCCTGAGAAAGAGAATGCACCCCTGAGGGTGGGCCTATAAATGGCCCCCTTGGGTGTGGCCATCTTCTATGGTCAAAACTGTATGGGTGAAATAAACCCCAGTCTCCTGTAGCATTCCCAGGCTTATTAGGAAGAGGAAATTCCTGCCTAATAAATTTTGGTCAGACCAGTTGCTCTCAAACCCTGTCTCCTGTTAAGATGTTGTCAATGACAATGGTGTCTGAAACTTCAATAGCAGTTTTAATTTTGCCCCGGTCCTGTGGTCTTGTGAACTTGCCCTGCCTCTGTTTGCCTTGTGATATTCTATTACCTTGTGAAGTACGTGATCTTTATGACCCACACCCTATTCGTACACTTCCTCCACTTTTGAAAGTCCCTAATAAAAACTTGCTGGTTTTGTGGCTTGGGGGGCATCACGGAACGTACCGACATGTGATATCTCCCTGGGATGCCCAGCTTTAAAATTTCTCTCTTTTGTACTCTCCCCCTTTATTTCTCAAACCAGCTGACACTTAGGGAAAATAGAAAAGAACCTACGTGACTATCGGGGCAGGTTCCCTGATATTTATTGGCATAATAGACTAAGGGTTTCTGTATTTTGACTTTGGTAATTTTTACAAATGGTTTTTGCCTGGTACTGTTGAAGTTAGGCTTAATTTTGAACCAGTAGATTTGTTTACCTTATGTGGTTTTGGGTTCATTTGTTCTATACGTATAATGCATATTCTTTTGGGGGTAATTTGGCTTTATTTCCGCTTTTTTATTTTTACATCTGGGACTGGAGAAATTGCTAGAATTTCAATAAGTTTGATTTGAAATCAGGCAACAGAACATCCCAGAAAAGACTGAAGGTTGTATGTACTGGATAATGCCTTTAGGTGAGTTTTATACATAAAACACAGTTCAGTAAAATTTATACAATCATTTCAAGTTTGTTAAATTTGAGAACAAAATGCCTATGGCATATTAGGCACTTGTCTTAGTTTCTCTTTGACATCCCTATCTTGGAGAAGCTGACATTACATGAAAGGATATTGCCTAATATAATATAATAAGACATGGAACAAATACTTATGTGCTAGAAACATTCCCCTTAGTAACCCTTAAATACATTTTATTCTGGCTCAATTCTTTTTTTTTTTTTAATTGACAGAGTTTTGCTCTTGTTGCCCAGGCTTGAGTGCAATGGCACGACTTCGGCTCACTGCAACCTTCGCCTCTTGGGTTGAAACTATTCTCCTGCCTCAGCCTCCCAAGTAACTGGGATTACAGTGCCTCCCACCATACCCGGCTAATTTTTTTTTATTTTTAGTAGAGATGGGGCTTCACTATATTGGCCAGGCTGTTCTCAAACTATTGATCTCAGGTTGTCTGCCCACCTCAGCCTCCCAAAGTCCTGGGATTACAGGAGTGAGACACCACACCTGGCTGGCTCAATTCTTTTGGCACAACTATTTTTGATACCAGAGGCTTCTTCCCACCAAATTTAAGCCATGATGTTTTCAAGTTTGTATTTTTAGTTTTATTTGCTTGTTTTGTTTTTTACTTTCTTGGAAAAGGGAGTGTGGGTTTACCTCTGTAAAATGAGATCAGCCTATTTGTAGTTTTACCCAGTAAGCTTCATAGTTGACATCATTATATTGAATTTCCCCAGGCCACCCTGAGCTTCAGAGCTGATCATCCTACCTCATTCCTCTTGGTTTTTCAGGCTCTGATGTTAAGTCCCTCTCACTTCAAATTTGAGCTTTCATAATGCCTCAGCTTGAAAGAAGCAGAAGAAAGTGTTGCCATATTTATTTGGATGAGGATCAAGACTTTACATCCATCATTCATAGTACAAAGCAACACTTTTAATAATGTGGACATGTTTCACTCAAATTAAATATAAGCAGTATCAACATGCCAATATAGTCAAAATAAATAACTGTCAAGTTTACCAAAATGTTTTGCTTTAGATTTTCCCAGCACAAAGATCAATATGTATGCATTGGTGGATGTTAGGATTTTTTTGTGTAGGTTTTTGTTTGTTTTTTTGTTTTTATTTTTTACAGATTTTCATCCTACTTTACTCTGATGTAAATTTAACTGCCCAAGGCTTACCAGAAACTTTATTTTACATTATTTTTACCAAAATTTCATATTCTCAAATATTAAAAGTGGCATTCTGTATTACCATTTTTCAAGTAATGTAGTCTGCATTTATTAATACATTTCAATGTATTTTTTTTACATGGGATAAGGTTATAAAAATGCCTTGCAGTTGATTTTCCAGGTAATAACAGAATCTGTTTTCTCAAACAGTAGCATGAGAATTCTTGATATACCACCTTCAGAGGTACTGAAAACAACCATATAATTTTGCTGAAATTTGGATTTTTTCATAATCACTTCAGAGGCTGAGTCACGGCAACATATGACAGCTGAATTAGTTCTTCTTCTCTAAATGTTGTGGAGCCACATCCACCTGTGTAAATAATGCTAACTGGGTAAAAGCTTTTTTATACTAAGCCAGAAGTCATTATACCTGGTGGTTTTATTTTAAATATATGAACAGTATTCTATAACATTCAAATAAGTAATAGAAATTTAATTCCATATATATGGAAAGAAAAGTTATACAGGCACACTGAGAATAAATTGGAATCTGGAACTGAACACTGATTAGCATGGCCTATAAAATCAAAACCAAGTTAATTACTTCTAAGATACAATGAAGGTACAGGCGTTGGATGAGGATGCTCCCATTCCATATAGGAGAACTGGACAAAACAAAGGGGCTAAAGGCCCCATGCAAGTCCAGAATCCAGCAGGGTAGTCATTGAATTTTAAAGCTCCAAAATAATCTCCTTTGACCATGTGTCTCACATTCAGGTCACACTGGTGCAAGAAGTAGGCTCTCATGGTCTTGGGCAGCTCTGCCCCTGTGCCTTTGCAGGGTACAGCCCCATTCAAAGCTGCTTTCATAGGCTGGCATTGAGTGTCTGCAGCTTTTCAAGATGTACAATGCAAGCTGTTGGTTGATCTACCATTCTGGGATCTGGAGAATAGTGGCTCTCTTCTCACAGCTCCACTAGGCAGTGCCTCAGTGGGGACTGTGTGTGAAGGCTCTGACCTCACATTTCTCTTCTGCACTGCCCTAACAGAGGTTCTCCATGAGGGCTCCACCCCTGCAGCAAACTTCTTCCTGTATATCCAGGCTTTTCCTTACATGCTTTTAAATCTAGGTGGAGGTTCCCAAACCCCAATTCTTGACTTCTGTGCACTCACAGGCTCAACACCACATGGAAGCCAACAAAGCTTGGGGCTTGTACCTACAGAAGCAATGGTCTGAACTGTACCTTGGCCCCTTTTATCCACAGATGTAGTGGCTGGGACACAGGGCACCAAGTACTGAGGTGGCACAAAGCAGCAAGGCCTGGACCCTGCACACAAAGCCATTTTTTTCCTCTTAGACCTCCTGGTCTGTGATGTGAAAGGCTTCTGTGAAGGTCTCTGACATGCCCTGGAGACATGTTCCCCATTGTCTTGGTGATTAACATTAGGCTCCTTGTGGCTTATGCAAATTTTTGCAGCTGGCTTGAACTTTTACCCCCAATAATGGGTTTTTCTTTTCTATAGCATTATCAGGCTGCAAATTTTTCCAAACTTTTATGCTCTGCTTCCCTTTTAAACGTAAGTTTCTATTTCAGATCATCTAAGTTCAAAGTTCCACAGCTCTTTAGGGCAGGGGAAAATGCTGCCAGTTTCTGCTTAAGCATAGCAAGAGTGACCTTTGCAGTAGTTCCCAATAGGTTTCTCATCTCCATCTCCAGACCCAAAGTCACTTTTACATTGCTGGTATCTTTATAGCAGTATCCAACTCTACCAGTACGAATTTACTGTAATAGTCCATTCTCACACTGCAATAAAAATCTTCCCAAGACTGAGTAATTTATAAAGCAAAGAGGTTAAATTGACTCACAGTTCCTCATAGCTGGGGAGGCCTCAGGAAACTTACAATCATGGCAAAAGGCAAAGGAGAAGCAAACTGGACCTTCTTACATGGCAGCAGGAAAAAGAACATGTGTGTGTGTGCAGAAAAAACTACGATTTATAAAACCATCAGAATTCATGAGAATTCACTCAGTATCACAAGAACGGCATGGGGGGAACTACCCCCCATGATCCAATCACTTCCCACCAGGTGTCTCCCTTAACATATGGGGATTACAATTCAAGATGAGATGGGGGCACACAAAGCCTAACCATATCTATCATGAAGACATAGTCCCAATTCCCTGATATCTCTGCTTCCTAACCCCTGTGTGAGACAGGCTATGTGTGTCCCAGAATGGCCTGTTTCTCTTGATTTGGAGGGCAGTGTATTAAGCACCTTTCAGCAGAATTCACCTTCTCTGTATGAATTAAGTCCTAGGCACAATTCACAATGCCAGCTCTCAATAAATTTTTTACTGTAATTTGTTTCCAGAAATGATATCAGAGCAGAAACACAAAGCAAAATAAACCAAAAGATAGGTAATGCTGAATGGTTGGAAAGTATATTTATGAAAGAGCTATGCGTCACAAAATCATCTTTGCTATGATTCAAGGGAGAAATCGTTTAACACCAACCCCATCATATCCACATAAATCCAGCAATCTAGAGACTGTTGGTCTTTTTTCTTTTCTGCATTATGTTTCTGCTCTCAGTAAAGCAAGGTTTTAATTGTAATATTGAAGCATTGGAAATTTAACACCAAGATATTTTCAAAACTAAGTGTTTTTTTTTGTTTCTTTTTGTTTTTGTTTTTTTTGACAGAGTCTCGCTCTGTCACCCAGGCTGGAGTGCAGTGGCGTGATCTCGGCTCGCTGCAAGCTCTGCCTCCCAGGTTCATGCCAGTCTCCTGTCTCAGCCTCCTGAGTAGCTGGGACTACAGGCGCCCGCCACCACACCTGGCTAATTTTTTTTTTTTTTTGTATTTTTAGTAGAGACAGAGTTTCACCATGTTAGCCAGGATGGTCTCGACCTCCTGGCCTCGTGATCCGCCTGCCTTGGCCTCCCAAAGTGCGGGGAATACAGGCATGAGCTACCGCGCCTGGCCAAAACTAAGTTTTAATTATAATAGGAAAACTAATGTGAGGCCAGAAATTGTTGACTTTGTTCACAGAATGCTAATTTTCCCCAGACAAAATATGCAGAGCTATGTTTCATTAATATGCAGAGCTATGTTTTATTACCAAAACACACTATTGCCAAATGCACAAAAGGAAAAAAGATATTTGTACCCTGTGCTAAAACAGATTCGTTTGTGGTATTTAAATGACAAAACTGGAATTATTTCAACCCGGAAATCATTGTTTCAAATTTCCATGGTTAAAGGTTTGCTCAAGCAAATCTCAAGACACAGGTATGTATTTCAGAACATCAACCAAATTCGAGTTTGCATCCCATTTTTGGTACCTTGTAAATAGAAATTTCAAAATCTTCCTCAAAAATATCTGCATTTGTTTTCCAGATTCTTGCAACCCAAAACAAAACCTCACAGAAACTCTGCACAAGAGTTGGTAGACAGCTAAACCTTCTCCAAATTGAGTTATGGACAATAAGGTCTTGATTATAGCAGAACTGGAAGGTCTATTTACAAGCCTGCACACAGTGCTGTGTAAATTGGCTGCTGGGGCACATTGATTGGCAGGGAAAGGCCAGGGAGGCAGTTGAATCCCTGGCATTATTCAAAACTTTTTTGCTAGTTTCATTATTCCTAGAATTTTGAACCTTATTAAGACATTCCCTAACCTATGTCATACTCTAGAGCACTCTACTCAGAATCCTGATAAAATACACTCTTTTTTTGTTGTTTTTTAAAGTGTACATTTCAATGATTTTTAATAATTTTTTTATACTTTAAGTTCTAGGGTACATGTGTGCAACGTGCGGTTTGTTACATATGTATACATGGGCCATGTTGGTGTGCTGCACCCATTAACTCGTCACTTACATTAGGTATATCTCCTATTGCTATCCCTCCCTTCTTCCCCCACCCCACAACAGGGCCTGGTGTGTGATGTTCCCCTTCCTCTGTCCAAGTGTTCTCATTGTTCAATTCTCACCTATGAGTGAGAACATACTGTGTTTGGTTTTTTGTTCTTGTGATAGTTTGCAGAGAATGATGGTTTCCAGCTTCATCCATGTCCCTACAAAGGACATGAACTCATCCTTTTTCATGGCTGCATAGTATTCCATGGTGTATATGTGCCACATTGTCTTAATCCAGTCTATCATTGATGGACATTTGGGTTGGTTCCCAAGTCTTTGCTATTGTGAATAGTGCCACAATAAACATACATGTGCATGTGTCTTTATGGCAGCATGATTTATAATCCTTTGGTTATACACCCAGTAATGGGATGGCTGGGTCAAATGGTATTTCTAGCTCTAGATCCTTGAGGAATTGCCACACTGACTTCCACAATGGTTGAACTAGTTTACAGTTCCAGCAAAAGTGTAAAAGTGTTCCTATTTCTCCACATCCTCTCCAGCACCTGTTGTTTCCTGACTTTTTAATGATTGCCATTCTAACTGGTGTGAGATGGTATCTCATTGTGGTTTTGATTTGCATTTCTCTGATGACCAGTGATGATGAGCATTTTTTCATGGTCTGTTGGCTGCATAAATGTCTTCTTTTGAAAAGTGTCTGTTCATATCATTTGCCCACTTTGTGATGGGGTTGTTTGTTTTTTTCTTGTAAACTTGTTTGAGTCCTTTGCAGATTCTGGATATTAGCCCTTTGTCAGATGAGTAGATTGCAAAAATCTTCTCCCTTTCTGTAGGTTGCCTGTTCATTCTGATGGTAGTTTCTTTTGTTGTGCAGAAGCTCTGTAGTTTAATTAGATCCCATTTGTCAATTTTGGCTTTTGTTGCCATTGCTTTTGGTATTTTAGACATGAAGTCCTTGCCCATTCTTATGTCCCGAATAGCATTGCCTAGGTTTTCTTCTAGGGTTTTTATAGTTTTAGGTCTAACATTTAAGTCTTTAATCCATCTTGAATTAATTTTTGTATAAGGTGTAAGAAAGGGATCCAGTTTCAGCTTTCTACATATGGCTAGCCAGTTTTCCCAGCACCATTTACTAAATAGGGAATCCTTTCCCCATTTCTTGTTGTTGTCAGGTTTGTCAAAGATCAGATGGTTGCAGATGTGTGGTATTATTTCTGAGGGCTCTGTTCTGTTCCAGTGGTCTATATCTCTGTTTTGGTACCAGTACCGTGCTCTTTTGGTTACTGTAGCCTTGTAGTATGGTTTGAAGTCAGGTAGCGTCATGCCTCCAGCTTTGTTCTTTTTGCTTAGGATTGACTTGGAGACGCGGGCTCTTTTTTGGTTCCATTTGAAATTTAAAGTAGTTTTTTCCAATTCTGTGAAGAAAGTCTTTGGTAGCTTGATGGGGATGGCATTGAATCTATAAATTACCTTGGGCAGTATGGCCATTTTCACGATATTGATTCTTCCTACCCATGAGCATGGAATGTTCTTCCATTTGTTTGTATCCTCTTTTATTTCCTTGAGCAGTGGTTTCTAGTTCTCCTTGAAGAGGTCCTTCACATCCCTTGTAAGTTGGATTCCTAGGTATTTTATTCTCTTTGAAGCAATTGTGAATGGCAGTTCACTCATGATTTGGCTCTCTGTTTGTCTGTTGTTGGTGTATAAGAATGCCTGTGATTTTTGCACATTGATTTTGTATCCTGAGGCTTTGCTGAAGTTGCTTATCAGCTTCAGGAGATTTTGGGCTGAGACGATGGAGTTTTCTAAATATACAATCACGTCATCTTCAAACGGGGACAATTGAATTTCCTCTTTTCCTAATTGAATAATCTTTATTTCTTTCTCCTGCCTTAGTGCCCTGGCCAGAACTTCCAACACTATGTTGAATAGGAGTGGTGAGAGAGGGCATCCCTGTCTTGTGCCAGATTTCAATGGGAATGCTTCCAGTTTTTGCCCATTCAGTATGATACTGGCTTTGGGTTTGTCATAGATAGCTCTTATTATTTTGAGATACGTCCCATCAATACCTAATTTATTGAGAGTTTTTAGCATGAAGGGTTGTTGAATTTTGTCAAAGACCTTTTCTGCATCTATTGAGATAATCATGTGGTTTTTGTCATTTGTTCTGTTTATATGCTGGATTACATTTATTGATTTGCGTATGTTGAACCAGCCTTGCATCCCAGGGATGAAGCCCACTTGATCATGGTGGATAAGTTTTTTGATGTGCTGCTAGATTTGGTTTGCCAGTATTTTATTGAGGATTTTTGCATCAATGTTCATCAGGGATATTGGTATAAAATTCTCTTTTTTTGTTGTGTCTCTGCCAGGCTTTGGTATCAGGATGATGCTGGCCTCATAAAATGAGTTAGGGACGATTCCATCTTTTTCTATAGATTGGAATAGTTTCGGAAGGAATGGTACCAACTCCTCTTTTTACCTCTGGTAGAATTCAGCTGTGAATCCATCTGGTCCTGGCCTTTTTTTGGTTTATGTCCAATCAAAAATTTATATCCAGAATATATGAAGATTTATAGGAAATTTTTATACATTCTGGATATAAATTTTTGATTGGACCTAAACATTGCAGATATCTTCTCTCAATTTAACTTGTCTTTTCTTTCTCTTAATGGTGACTTCGTTAATGCCAATTTCTTCATTTTAATGTAGTTCAATTTATCAGACTTTTTCTGTGTAGTTAATGCTTATTTAGTCTTGCTTAAGAAATTTTTGTCTACCCAATTGTCATAAAGGTATTCTTCTATGTTACAGAAGCTTTTTAAAAAATTTTTACCCTTTCAGATTGAGCTTTATAACCCACCTACGATTGACTTTTGTTTCTGATGCAAGACAAGGGTTAAAGTCTTTTATTCCCCCATATTGATATCCAAATTATCTACCACCATTTATTGAGAAGATTGTTATTTCCTCACTGCACTGCAGTTTCACCTTTGTCATAAATCAGGTGATGGTATAAGTATGAGTTTGCTTTTGATTTCTCTATTTGTATGTCCTGCTAATACCATCTTATTTTAATTGTAATAAAGTTGGAGACATCTGATGGTATAGATTCTTGAGCTCTATTCTTCTTCAGAACTTTCTTGGTTCTCTTGTCCTTTTAAATTTTCAAAAAAAATTTAAATTAGCTTGTCCATTTCCAAATTACCTGATAGGATTTTGAGTAGGATTGCATTCAACCATAATTTAATGAGTAGAAATGACTTATTTACAATATAAAATCTTTCTATTCATAAACATTGTATGTCTTTTTTATGTATACAATATTTATATCTGTTTTAAAATTTTTACTTTAATTTCTGGGATACATGTGCAGAATGTACAGGTTTGTTACATAGGTATATATGTGCTGTGGTGGTTCGCTCCATCTATCAACCTGTAATCTAAGTTTTAAGCCCCACATGCATGAGGTATTTGTCCTAATGCTCTCCCTCCTCTTCCCCTCCAACCCCTGACAGGCCTCTGTGTGTGATGTTCCCCTCCGTGTGTCCATGTGTTATTGTTCAACTCCCATTTGTGAGTGAGAACATGCACTGTTTGGTTTTCTGTTCCTGTGTTAGTTTGCTGAGAATGATGGCTTCTAGTTTCATCCATGTCTCTTCAAAGAACATGAACTCATGATTTTTTTATGGTTGCATAACCTTCCATGTTGTACTCTAATTTGTACATGTACAAATTAGAACTCAGGATTAAGAAACTCACTCAAGGCCGGGCGCGGTGGCTCACGCCTGTAATCCCAGCACTTTGGGAGGCCGAGGCGGGCGGATCACGAGGTCAAGAGATCGAGACCATCCCGGCTAAAACGGTGAAACCCCGTCTCTACTAAAAATACAAAAAAATTAGCCGGGCGTAGTGGCGGGCGCCTGTAGTCCCAGCTACTCGGGAGGCTGAGGCAGGAGAATGGCGTGAACCCGGGAGGCGGAGCTTGCAGTGAGCCGAGATCCCGCCACTGCACTCCAGCCTGGGCGACAGAGCGAGACTCCGTCTCAAAAAAAAAAAAAAAAAAAAAAAAAAAAAAAAAAAAAAAAAAAAAAAGAAACTCACTCAAAACCACACAATTACATGGAAATTGAACAACCTGCCCCTGAATGACTACTGGGTAAATAATGAAATTAAGGCAGAAATAACAAAGTTGTTTGAAACCAGTGAGAACAAAGAGACAACGTACCAGAATCTCTGAGACACAGTTGAAGTAGTGTTAAGAGGGAAATTTATAGCACTAAATGCCAATAACAGAAAGCTGGAAAGATCTAAAATCGACCCCTTAATATCACAATTAAAAAACCTAGAGAAGAGTAAACAAATTCAGAAGCTACCAGAAGACAAGAAATAACTATGATCAGAGTAGAACTGAAAGAGATAGAGACACGAAAAACCCTTCAAAATATCAGTGAATCCAGGAGATTAACAAAATAAATGGACCACTAGCTAGACTAACAGAGAAAAAAGGGAAGAATCAAGTAGACATAATAAAAAATGATAAAAGGGGCTGGGTGTGGTGGCTCATGCCTGTAATCCCAGCACTTTGGGAGGAGAAGGCAGGTGGATCATGAAGTCAGGAGTTCAAGACCAGCCTGGCCAATATGGTGAAACCCCATCTCTACTAAAAATACAAAAATTTGCTGGGTGTGGTGGTGTGTGCCTGTAGACCCAGCTACTAGGGAGACTGAGGCAGAAGAATTGCTTGAACCCCAGAGGTGGAAGATGCAGTGAGCCGAGATAGCACCACTGCACTCCAGCTTGGGTGACAGAGTGAGACTCCATCTCAAAAAAAAAAAAAAAAGAATGATAAAGGATGCATCACTATTGATCCCACAGAAATACAAATTACCCTCAGAGAATACTATAAACATCTCTCTGCAAATAAACCTGAAAATCTAGAAAATATGGATACATTCCTGGCACATACACCCTCCCACGACAAAATCAGGAAGAAGTAGAATCCCTGAATAGACCTATAAAAAGTTCTGAAATTGAGTCAGTAATGAATAGCTTACCAACCAAAAAAAGCCCGGGACCAGACGGATTCATGGCTGAATTATGCTGGAGATATAAAGAGGAGCTGGTACCATTCCTTCTGAAACTATTCCAAACAATGGTAAAAGAGGGACTCCTCCCTAACTCATTTTATGAGGCCAGCGTCATCCTGATACCAAAACCTGGCAGAGACACAACAAATAAAGAAAATTTCAGGCCAATAGCCCTTATAAACATTGATGTGAAAATCCTCAATAAAAGACTGGCAAAATGAATCCAGAAGCACATACAAAAGTTTATCCACCATGTGCAACACTTTTTTAAAAGGCATGCTTCAATAAAGAAACACTTCTATGTAGTCAGGAAACTATCTCTTTGAGTCTAACATAGATTACAGCCTTGACATGAATAAGATTCTTCTTTTATGTACTCAATAAATGTTTGCTTATAGCCTATTTTATGCTGGGTAGTATTATGGGAACTGGAGAGAAAAGGTCTGTCTTTATGTAGCTTGCAGTATAGTGACAGAGATAGAACATAAATGCATAAACAGTTGCACACTAAAGTGATGGCTGTACTAAGCGCTATGAAGAAGTATATTAGCCAAGTGTGGTGGTGCTCACCTGTGTTCCCAGCTACTTGGGAGGCTGAGACAGGAAGTCTGCTTGAGCCCCAGAGTTTGAGGCTGCAGTGATCCATGATTGTGCCACTGCACCCCAGCCTTGGTGACAGAGTGAGACCTTGTGTAAATAAAAAGTATAATACTACAAAGAAAATAATGTAGGGTAATCACATTCAGGGTGTCAAGGACTGCTACTTTAGATAGAGAGCTCTGGAACAATCTTTTTGAGGAGACGACACTTGAGCAGGTCAGAATGGTATGACCGAGTGAGTTAAGCGAATGTCTAGAGGGCAGAGAGAAGAGACACTGTGCAGAGTCTGAATACAGACAGCACTTGATGAGCTCAAAGATCACTACAAAGACCAGTCAGGCTGCAGGCACTGGGAGGAGGAAAGGAGAATGCACACTCTGAGGAGCAGATAAATACAGACCATAGTAAAGAGCTTAGATTTCTTTGTTAATTGTGATAGGTAACCACTGGAGGATTCAGAGCTGGGAATGAAATGGTATAAGATATGTTCTTACAGGAATAGTCCAGCTTTGTGGGAGAATAGATTACAGATTACCATAAATAGAATAATAATAAATGCAAAGGCAGCTTAGAAATGATTATATCTGTCCAGGGGTTGATACTGGTGGTGTTAGAACTGTGAGGTCCAGTATGATAGCCACCAGCTGCATTTAGTTTTTTACACTTAAATTAATTAACATACCATAAAATTTATTCCTACCAGGGACTTGGGAGGAAAGGGAGAATGAGGAGTTATTGCTTAATGAGTACAGAGTTTCAGTTTGGGGTGAAAAAAAATTTTGGAAATACATAGTTTTGATGATTGCACAACATTCTGAATGTAATTAATGTCTCCGAATTTTATGTTTAAAATGGCAAAGCTTATTACATAGGTTTTACCACAATAAAACATTACAAAATTAATCGCAGAACCAAAACTCTAAAACCATTTTTTAAAATTGTATAAATTTAAGGAGTGCAAGTGCAATTTTGTTACATGGGTATATGGGGTAGGAGTGAAATCTGAGCTTTTAATGTGTTTATCACTGGAACAATGTACACTGTATCCACTAAGTAATTTCTCATCACCCTTCCCCCTCCCACCCTCTCACCCTTCTGAGTCTACAGTGTCTTATCATTTTACACTCTTTGTTCATATTTACACATTATGTATTTCCCGTTTTTAAGTAAGAACATGCAGTATTTGATTTTATGTTTCTGAATTGGAAAACTATAAAACTCTTAGAATAAAAAATAACAATAAATCTTTATGGCTTTGGATTTGGCAATAGTTTCTTAGATATGGCACCAAAAGCACAGTGATAAAAGAAAATGTACTGGGCTTCATCAAATTTAGAAACATTTGTGTTTCAAAGGACGTAACAAACAAAATAAAACAACAACCAGAAAAGTGGAGAAAATCTTTGCAACTTATATATTTGATTAGAAATCTGTATCCAAAATGCATAAATAACTTTTACAACTCAACAGTAAAAAGAAAAAAATCATAAAAATAGGCAAAATATTTAAATAGACATTTTTGTGAAGAAGATATAAGAGTGTCCAATAAGTGCATGAAGAAAAGCCTAACATCACAAGTCATCAAGAAAATGCAAAATCAAAACTACAAGCAGATATCACTTAACACTCACTAGTGTACCTACAATGAAAAATGACAAATGGTTGGGTGCGGTGACTCACGCCTGTAATCCCAGCACCTTGGGAGGCTGAGGTGGATGGATCACGAGCTCAGGAGATCCAGACCATCCTGGCTAACATGGTGAAACCCCTTTAGCCATGTTACCGTGAAACATGGTAAAAAACACAAAAAATTAGCCGGGTGTGGTGGCAGGCGACTGTAGTCCCAGCTACTCGGGAGGCTGAGGCAGGAGGATGGCGTGAACCCGGGAGGCAGAGCTTGCAGTGAGCTGAGAGTGCACCACTGCACTCCAGCCTGGTGAGGCCGTAGAGAAATTAGATCTTTCATACATTGCCGGTGGGAAAGTAAAATAGTGCACACTTTGGAAAACTGTGAGGTGATTGCTGAAAAGGTTATGCATAGGTACCTTACGACCCAGCAATTCCATTCCTAGGTACATACCCAATAGAAATGAAAACGTATGAATGAAATATACAAAAGTTTGTACCTAAATATTATAGCGGCATTATCATAATTCTGAATAATATATACTAAATCGAAGTGATATTAAAAGTAATATTGATGAAATAAAATTAGAAATATAAAATTTTTACCAGCGATTGATTCAGCTGATTCAAATTACTTCTTACAGTCTTCAATTCCATATTTTGTACATTCGGAGAGCGAGTTCAAGTTGCTTCACTTCTAACTTTTTCTTTTGCTGCTTTTTGAATTTTCCTAATTCTTCCCTAATTTTTTCATTTAATATATTGGCACTTCTTCTCTTCTCTTCTTCTTGTTTTAAAGTCAATCTGCCATTAAATATACTTATCTTAAAATTCATTTTGTTAGAAAATAGAATTCACTTTGAGATCTACTTCTTCCTATGTTGGTTTATTATTCCAATAAAATTCCTACATTCTTGAATACATTTTTCCTTTCTAGTTCTGAGTTATTTAATTTATTACTGAACTCTCTTCCTAATGATACACATACTTGAAAAATAGTGAGAAAAGAACATCTTCTAGTTAGAAAGATTCTGTTACTAGTAACTTCAACAACTGTTATGGAAAAGAATACTGGAAGCTATCCAGTAAAGTTATAAGTTGAAAATTATTATTTTAAAAATATAACAGTCAAAATTACTCCTCAATGAGGACAGATCATTTAGAGTTAACTAATTAAAATGATGTTACTTTTTATAAACAAGTTTACATATTTATTAGACATAAATATTCATCTTTAAAAAATAAGGCAAGTATCCTTAAAAATAATTATAATATTATAATATGAGACTAGGCTGAAGAATCTAATATCTGTTATCCCATATATCTTTTGTTTCTTTTTTTAGTAATACTTTAAATGTATCTTGTTGATTATTTTATATTTTATCAATAAATTTTAAATCTCTTTTAGAATAAGACAGAATATAATATTTAATTAAAAAATAAAAATAAGTATTTTTAACATAGAACTCTGAATTAACTTTATTTATGTAGGAGAGAGAGAGATGTTGAATATACTAGTCATAAATTACTCTATGTTTTTCTTTATACTCCATGCATATTAAGATTACAAGTGTATAATTAAAGGAAAATGATTATTGGGGGTAGAGGAATGGCTGTTTCACACTCTCTTTGTTGAACTATAAATGAATATAAATTTTCTTGAGAACAATTTAGAAGTAATGAACAAAGAACTTCTTAAAAACTTCCTATAATTTAACCAAATATTTTTATATTGAAGAATTTATTCCAAGTCAATAATAAGAATGGTAGAAATGGATTTACATGCAGTTATGCCTTGCAGCACTTATTATAACACAAAAAAATTAAAAAAAATTAATGTTAAGTAAATAATGGGGTTTCCAAATAATGGCCTTCTACGTAGCCATTAAAATTGTGATTTAAATAAATATGCATTTAATTATCAGGAGATGTATTCACAGTTAAGAACTTGTATTATTTAAATGGATTTGACACTCTGCAAGACAGAGATTTCTTTCTCCAGTTAAACCTCAGAAGGTAAGTCAGCTAGTACAAAAAATATCCTATATACTAGTATGTCATACCTCACACTGCAGAGCTCTTGTTCTCTTTTAACTTTTTGATTCTCTATGATTTTATTTCTTTTGGTTCTGATAGTTCCTTTTGTAGTATATGAAGCTTTTTTTTCATTTGTTTCATTTTGGCTGTAAGTTGTTCACAGGGATTTTTTTTCTTTTTTTGACGGAGTCTCGCTCTGTTGCCTAGGCTGGAGTGCAATGGCGTGTTCTCCACTCACTGCAAGCTCCGCCTCCTGGGTTCATGCCATTCTCCTGCCTTAGCCTCCTGAGTAGCTGGGACTACAGGCACCCGCCACCACGCCTGGCTAATTTTTTTTTGTATTTTTTGTAAAGACGGGGTTTCACTGTGTTAGCAAGGATGGTCTTGATCTCCTGATCTCATGATCTGCCCGCCTTGGCCTCCCAAAGTGATGGGATTACAGGCGTGAGCCACGGCGCCTGGCTCACAGGGATATTTTTTAATTTCCCTTGCTCTTTCACAAGAAAGAATTGCATCCAAGAATTTTGATAGGCTAGTTGAATCTGTCTCCAGGAGGAGATAGAAATAAAATATATAAGTACTTTTGGGATATAAAGAACTGCATATTTTAACAATCACTAATTCATACACTGATCAAATATATATTGTTTGCCTACCTCGTGGAAGGCATTATACTAAGCTCTGCAGATTAAACAGAAAAAAACAAAAACCTCTGCCTTTGTTTAACTTAAAATGTGCTAAAAGACGAAGCCCCAGAAAAGTGACAGTTATAAATTCAGATAGATACTGTAAGAAAACAGTTTGCTAAGAATTAGATCTATACTAGGCTCATGGAAAATTCCCCCGAGGAATGTATAGCTACACTGAGGAATGAAGAATGAAAAGGAAGCAGTTGAGCAAAAGGGAAGGAAAGCATTTTAGCCAGTCTGTGGCATGTGCTGAAACTCTAGTGTAGTCTGCCTCTAGCCAAGGGAGAGCAACAGGTATGATTTTTCTTCTTAGCTAAAATAACTAAAATCAAAACACACAAAATACAGTAAATAATTTTTCAGACACTGGACATTAGGCAAAGAAGATAATAATCCCTAAAAAACAGAAAAAAAAACACGAAAGAAAGCAAACCTTATGAATGTTTCAGCTTCCTGCCTTGATAGAGATTCGGAGACATGACACAGGAAGAAAAAACTGAGGTGGGATCTACCAGACTCTCTTGGTTACATTGATGAAGCTTAGAGTCTGGTAAAACCAAAGCAGACAGATATTACAGAACAAACACTGAGGAGGAGAGAGAGATACAGAATCAACGGCAAGAAACTCCCTGTCAGTATTTAGCGAAATTTTGGAAATTGCATATGAGCTAGAAAACTACCTAAGAACAAACCGGGTGGGGGTGGGGGTGGGGGGTGGCCTATAAAATTAGAGGAAATCACACCTGGTGCTCACACAGTGCCAAAAAGAGCGTCTATTTTTATAGATTTGCCTGGGAAAACTCAGACTTCACAGGAAAATGAATGCTCAGAAAGGCCTTGCCTTAGGTATGGGGAGTTAGCTCATACCATAAAAAGAAAAATGAAAAGGATCAAGCTCTTTATAAGTAACTCAACTCTATTCTACTATAAAAATCAAGAAGATAAGTAAAGCAATAGAAGATACTTTTAAAAACCAAATTGCACTTGTAGAGATACAAGTTACAATGCTGGAGATGAAAGCTGCACTGAGTAGATATGAGCATAGATTAATTCACCATCATGAAATAAAAGATTCACAAATTTGAGACACTAGTGAACTAAGAGCAAACTTCCAGCAGGTAATATATAAGTCTGCAAAGAGGTAGGAGGAGAGGCAGAATAAAAAATTTGAGAAAAAATTGGCTAAATATGTTTTAAACTTAATGAAAGCCATAATCCCACAGATCTAGGCTGGGATCTGGCTGATAGAAAAGAAATGAAAATATGATTGTAATTTCTTATACCATCTATGATATGATATAATATTACTTGAAGATGGATTGTGATGAGGTAAATTCATACACTATAAATCCCAAAGCAACTACTAAGACAGCAAAGAGTTATACCTAATACCAAATAAACTTATACCAAAAAAGATATGACTAAATCATAAAGAAATGTAAAACTAGATTAATAACTAAAAAAGTTATGCATATACAGATATATAACTAAATCATAAAAATTACTAAACTAGTCTGAAGGAAGCAGAAAAAGGAAAAAAGCAAAGCAAAGATCTGGGACTAATAGAAATCAAACAGTGTGATGACAGACAACTCTAATCATATCAATAATTACATTATAAATTAAACTGGTCTAAAAACCTCTGCTCAAAGGCAGATTGTCAGAATGGATAAAAAAGCAAGTCTTACCTGTATAATGCATATAAGAAATAAACTTTAAATATAAAGACAAAAATTAGTTAAAAGATGAAACAAGATATACCACACTAACACTTGACAAAAGAAGGCTGAGGAAGAGTGGTTGTATTAATACCAAAGTACATTTCATAGCAAAAATATTACCAGCAATATACAAGGTCATTTTATAGTGACAAAGGGTTCAATTAATCAAGAAAACATAACAGTCCTAAATATTTATGTACATAATAACATAAATGCTTCAAAATACATGATAGAAAAATTGACACAACTGCAAAAGAAATAGACAAATTCCCAAGTATAGTCTAAAATCTCTAAACCCCTTACTCAAGTGGTATAATAAGGAGGCAGAAATTTCTGGAAAAATGTTGGCATGTGTACTCACCAGTCTAGACATTTTCCCACTCCCTGTGTATGTATGCTGCTTTAGTTACAAAAAGTTAGGTATGATCTTGGGAGATTTCTTCTTGGATACCAGAAATATCAACCACATCAAAAGTATACCTAACAACTCTAAAATAATTCTTTTGAACAGATTACCACTGAAGAACTTGTAAGTTAAATCCAGTAGATTTTTGAGTAAGTTTACTGCTTGAAATTCTCACATTTAAAAGAAATTTGTAACATCACTTTCTCAGACTCCTCTCCTACGTTTCTTTAACCACTGCTCAGTCTCCTTTACCAAGTCCTTTGACTCTTGTGAAATGTCGATATTCCCAGGGTTGTGTCAATGGCTTTCTTTTTATTCTACATCTTCTGCCTCATGGATAAGCTCATTGAGATCTATGGCTTTGCCTAATAATTATAATAAAAGTATTCTAAGCCTGCATCTTCAAGCAGAGTTCTATCTCCAGCTAGAAATGTATATAATCCAATTGCCTACTGAAAGTATCCCACATAAATGTTTCATTGAACTCAATATGTAAAGAAAACTGTTGGTCTGTCCCATTACTGTTTGCACTTCTCTGTTAACCTGACAAATTCCTACTCCTTCCCCATGAGCATTGTAAATGCTTATGCACAATCTGAAAACTTATGAATGACCTGAGATTTTATCTGTCCCCTAGCTTTTTAAACTCAATTATCACTAAGCCATATTAACTGCACCTCTTTTCTGCCTTTGCTTTATCTTTCCATTGCCACTGGAAATACATACTTATTTATTTTATATTCATATTTCCTAGTTAAACGTGGCCCCTTAACTGATGGTTTTCACAGGGAAAAAGAAACCCTATAAATTACTGTTCTTATTTTTTAAGTTAAAAAAGTTAATCAAAATAAAACAATGCCAAAGAAGGACCTACATGTTTAAATGTGTAAATTGAGCTTCTGAACTTGATTCATTTTACACTTGATGGATCAAACTTTCATAATAGATTGATACTAGGCCACAGGTTTGTTACAAAAAAAAAAAGACTATTGCATGAACTACTACAAAAGCTTCATCTTTAAATCTTTTTATGTGATTATCCTCCATCTATCTTCTATATGAAGGTCCAGAAACTATAGGCCACAGGCCAAATTCAGCTTACTAAATGGTTTTTTATACAAACTTTTATTGGAGTACAATCATGCCTCTTTGCCCATCCATTATCTATGACTCCTTTCACCCTACAATGGCAGAGTTGAATAGCTGTAATAGAGACCACATGGCCCAACATATTCGCTATCTGGCACTTTACAGGAAAAGTTTGCCAATCTCTGCTTTATACCATGACCAGAATGCCCTGATACTCAAATCTAATCTTGTGACTCCCCTGCTCAAACTTTTCCACTGTGTTCCTGCAGAAAACATTGCTGGCTTCCTATGCATAGTCATTATGTATTCTTTATTGCTGCAGAAACACAAGTTCATTTAGATATTTATTATTCCGTTACCCCCATCCAATCTTAAAAGAAAAATCATTATTCTAAGCTAATCACAGTAATAACATTTGCTTTCCTAGTGATTGGTATAGAAATAAGCATGTGGTATAATCCAGCCAATAAAATGTTACAGGAAGATTACTGCAAGCTTCCAAGTTTTCTTCCTATTTAAAAAAAAAATGTGAACAAAAGCAGCACTCCCAGACTTCAGATATTGTCTTGAGTTAGCATGATGATTGGAGCTGTTGCTAATTACCCAACCAAGAAAGGAGACATGAACAAAACACTGCTGATAGCATAACTAATAATGGGGGAGGGGGAGTGAGAACTTATAATATCCCTGTACCACCAAAACAACTTTGGTTTCTATGGTTTTAGCAATTGTTAGTTATTTTCATCTAATATTTACAGCCAGAAGTATTCTGGGAATTTTTCCAGGGCCTACAGAATAACATCTACTCGTTTCTACACTATTAAAATGTGTTGCCTAAGCTTGCCTTATCTAGACATTCAAGCCATTCCTGACTACTCCTGTACCACACTATTTCCACTAGGGAACCCAAAGTGCCAATAAACTCTACAAAGTTCACTCAAGCATCTGACCATTTGTACTTGCTTTTGTAGCTGTCTTTGTAGGACATGTGATCATCTTAGCTGTTCCTTCTTCCAAAACTTCAATTTTATTAGATGTTACTCCTGCCACGCATTCAGTCTTTACAGATGTTTCTTTTTCCTCCCATGTGGTCTTTGTAGGTCTTTCTTGTGGCCATGCAAATTTCTCAGACGTTTCTTTCACAGGCCTTGTAATTTTCCTAGGTGTTTCTCTTGCTGACTGTTCAGTCTTTCCAGATATTGTTTTCCCCAAACATTGAACTTCGTCAGATGTTCCCTCCACCAAGGGTGCAGCTTCGTGTTGGAAATAACTTTTTGGTGCCACAAAGAAGAGTTACCACTCCAGCAACAAGTTAACACTCCAGCAAGGCAAATTTACTTCTATAGAAGGGTGAGTCTTGCGGATGGAGCAATGGCAAGAGCACACTGGATAAGGGAGGGGAAAGGGTTTTTATTCCTAATGCAGATAGTCCCTACTGCTGTATCTTTCCCCTATTGGATAGGGTTGGATCACACACTCTAAGCTAATTTTGACTGGCTACTTCAAAGAGGACAGGGGTGCAAGCCAGAGTGGCAGGGTGGGTAGTTTCCTCAGGAAGGATGGTTACAGAGCAGGTGACTAAGGATGACTAAGGACAGAGCAAGTGACTAAGAATGACTAAGGACAGAGTAGGTGATAGGGACTAGGAGGGGGTCGTTTACTGAAACTAGGGGCAAGGAGGCATAAAGAATGAGGAAGTTAAACTTTAAATGGAGAACAAAGAACAGAGAAGCTGAACATACTGACTTATTGGCTCTTTGAAGAGGAACTGAGAACTCAGTGTACTTAACAATCTTCCCTCTCTTGAATTTTAAAGGACGTTAACAGGCTAAAACCTTTGAAGAGTAATTCACTGTATTCTACAATTGCCTCTTTCAATTTTTATAGCCCTTCCTCTTCAAACCTTTTTAGCATGTCTTGGCTTTTTTTTTTTCAACTTGATCCTCTAAAAGGAAAAGCCTATCTGAATAAGGTGGAGGACAGCTAAGGGAGGTTTTAGAAAGTGTTGTTTATATAAGCCTTTGCACTGCCCATGGATGCATGGTATGACACAACACCCAACAAGAATGAGTACACCCATTACTGCTGTAAAAGAAGTAAGAATTGAGGCTATGATTTCTTTCCATTTACTGAACCACCTTTCTAGCCACGTTGAGAAAGGGTTATTGACTCCAGAATTTTTAGCTAATTTTTTGGATAAAGTGGTAAATCCTTGTAGGGCCCTTGTTATGCTCTCACTGGGGGCAGTGTTGTTTGCTCCCAATGGATAAAGGTACAACACTGAGTTTTATTCATAACACAAACACCACTTTTTCAGCTAATATCATATCTAGGGCCATTCTGTTTTCCCAGGCCATCTGGCTAGTGGGCCTCAATTGTTCTGCTATTCCTTTGACAACATCCCTGGTGTAATTAATAAACCACTGTTGATTATTATAGATGTAATTTATCCAATCTACATTTTTATTGTCACCCACCAAAATATCAATTCAAATCCGGTAGCTATTTGATCTTGGGCTTAAATGTATCTCATACTCCTCATGGGATTCCAATAGCATCTAAATAAATGTGGGAGTCAAAAGACCCATAAAGGACTTCCCTTGCTTTACGATGTTGTGTTTTCCCTTTTTCTGGTTGATGAAATGCCAGAGTGAAATGTATAGCCAACTGGACTACAGCACGAGCGCTGCTCCAGTTACTTAGCAGAGTGTCCTGTAAAGGTCCACCACAATACCACCATAAATCTTCTCAGGATTGTATAAGGGCTGACTGATTGGTAAGCTCTTGGAAAGTCTTAAGCTTACTGCATCCTTTTAGGTCTCCAAGCAAAGCTAAGTTTCCTCCTTATTGTGAGAGACATGAAGTGAACTTAGTGTCAGGAGACGGAAGCTAGATGGCCCTTGGGGGCTGACCTGCAGGGTGTTGAACTTTGGGATATAGCAGAGAGAGAGATTGACATGACTTGTTACACCAGGCTGTGGAACCCTGGAAAAGAGCTACCATACAGCCTATGCCTGGTCGACTGAAGGACCATCCTAGTGGAAAGGGGACAATCTGGGCCTCTGGTCTGCCGTGTACACAAGCATAACAATTGCTTTTGTTTAAAGCACGAATGGAGTATTTGATCCATTCCAACCAGGCATTCGCATCTTGATATCCTGTCTCAGTTGCCAAAGATTGTTTTAGGTCTTTAACTTCTACAATAGCTACTTTGATCTTGTCATTAGATGGAGGAGGAACAACAGTTTCATTGTGAGAGTTTTTGGAAGAAGACTTAGGGGAAGCTGTAGGCAGTAGGGGAGCAATGAAGCATATTTCAAAGATCCAATAGGGTCTGTTTCTGAAAACTCAGCCCCCATAACATAAAACCAGCTTAAAGAAGGGAATTGGCTTAGAGAAGGGGAAGAACTTTGTAGGTTTGAAATAATAACTTGTATTGAGTTGCACTAGTTTACCTGAAAGTTAAGGGGAGCTATATCTTTAGTAAAATAAATGTATGGTTTTAGGAATTACAACTACTGGTTGGGGCAGTCCATCCTTGCTCTCACTTGCACGTAGTTGGACCAACTAGTCATAAAAGCTCTGTGTCAAGGGGGCAAGACTCCCAGTTGACACTGGGGTCTTCATTGAAACTTTCCCAGACTAAATGATCCAAATTCACTAATGTCCAGTCTGAGGACAGCCAGGAAGTACAGAGGTACTTTTCGGAAGTGGAGAGCTGTCTGTGGCCTGACAAGGCTCCACAAGGTATAACAAGGCAAGCATCAAATGTAATAGTTTGAGGCAAAATGGGTTCCATTTTCTGAGTCAATGTTTTCTATTAGCCTAAACCTGGGCACTATATTTTCAATTAAGGCCTTAACTACATTATTGGCCATCACATTTGAAAAGGGAATAGCTTTGACCCAGTGGGTAAGGTGATCTACTGTCACTAGTAAATATTTTAGACGACCTATTGGAGGCATCTCTGTGTAATCAAACTGCATACTTTAAGTCTGGACTCCTTCTCCCAAGGGGTAATCTTTTTATAGTTTGTTTATTAGTTTTCTTACATACTAAGCAACTGTCTGTAACCTGTTTGGCCAGAGTATAAATTCCTATACACCGAAAAACTTTCAGAACTGTGTCACACATGGCTTGGGGCCCCCAGTGGGTCCCTTGATGCAGTTGGGACAAGTTTTCCCTCATAAGGGGTTTGGACAACCTTTCCCTCTGGTCTGGCAATATCCATTTTTCTTTTGAATTCTCCTTAGCACCTATTTTTATTAGTTTCTCTTTTCAGTGGAAGAGAAAATGGAGATTATGTTAGGAGGAAAAAGGTAAAGAGTTCAGTGAAAAATAGATGTTTTAAAAGAAATGGCAGCCTGTTTTCCTATGTAATCTGCTAGGTTATTTCCTAGACTGTCAAAAGGAAGACTTTTCTGGTGTCTGGGGACATGGACAGTCACTCTTTCTTCTGGCAACTGAAGGTTATTCAATCCTTGGGTGAATAGCTCCTTATGAACAAGATCTTGACGTTTACTATTAATGAGACCTCGTTCAGTCCAAATTTTTCCGAATGTATGAGCCACTCCAAAGACGTACTTAGAATTGGTATAGATGGCTCCTTCCTGGTTCTGCAAGTCCTTTAAGGCTTGGCTGAGTGCAAATAGCTCACACGTTTGGGCAGTCCAATTCTTAGACAATTTTCCTGCCTCAATTTCTTCAAGAGTTTCTCCATCAATTACTGAATACCCATTGCATCTTTTTGCCTCAATCACCTGGGAGGAACCATCTATAAATAAGTGTCATCCCATCCTGAAGGGAGTTTCTCCTAGGTCTGGTCAGACCTTTGTATGGTAATCAGTTAAGTCTAAACATGAGTGCTATCTCTTTAGATTTGGATCCCCTATTAGAAAAACTGCTGGGTTAAAGGAATTATCAGTGATTAATGTTAAATCATCTTTTTCTAACAGAATAGTCCCATACTTTAAGACTCTTGAATCAGTAAGCCACCTCCCTGCTTTCTGGTTTAAGATAGTTCTAACTTGATGGGGCTTTCTTACTGTCAATTTTCCTCCAAAGGTTAACTTCCTGCTTTCTTTGGCCATTAGTGCTGTAGCCACAATGGATTGGCTGCATTGAGGCTACCCACAAGTAACTGGATCTAAGACTTTTTACAGGAAGGCCACCATGGGCTGCCGATGACCTCCATGTTCTTAAGTGGACACTCCTAAAGCTACCCCATTATCCGTGTTGACAAAAAGGTGGAATGGCTTTCCTAGGGAAGGTAAGGCTAAGACAGGCTGTTATAAGCCTTTTTATCTGCTCTTCAACCTGATCGACTTCCTCAGACGTCCACAGGAAATGGTCAGTCTTCCCCTTGGCAAATTTTGGATATAGAAGTTTACTGTTTAGTGCATATGAGTTAATCCATAAGCAGCAGTATCCAACTAACCCTAAAAATTTCCTGAGTTCTTGTTTAAGTTTGAGGCAAGGGTAGGGACACGATTCCCTCAACTCGTTCAGGCCCTATTCTTCACTTCTCTGCACTTATCAACTGGTCTAAATATTTAATTTCAGGTTCTACATACTGAAGCTTTCCCTTTGAGACTCATAACCCCTCGAACTGCAGATGGTTGAGAATATGTGTAGAGAAGCCAGCTACCTTCTCTATATCTTCACCAGATATAAGAATATCATCAACATATTGGAGCAGGCATATTTGTTTGGGATGATAACTTTTTCTAATACTTGTTCTAAAATTTGACTGAAAAGGTTAGGGGAGTCTGTGAACCCTTGGGGTAAGACTATCCATTGATATTGTTGTTTCTACCCTGAATGGGGATCCTCCCACTCAAAAGTAAATATATCTTGCTTATCTTCAGCCAGGAGACATGCCCAAAAAGCATCCTTGAAATCTATTACAGTAAACCATTGATTATTATATGGAATCTTGCTGAGAATGGTGTAAGGATCGAGGACAATGGGGTGGGTAGTTTGGACTATTCGGTTAATAGCTCTAAGGTCCTGTACCAGCCGGTATGGCCCATCTGATTTCTTGACTGGCAATATTGAGGTGTTATAAGGGGACATAGAGGGCTCAAGAAGCCCATCTTTAATAAGACCTTCAATTATAGGTTTCAACCCTATCCTGCCCTCTAGGGGAATGGGGTATGGTTTCTTCCTTACTACTTCCCTGGGGATTTTTAGCCTGATGTGGTTGGAGGGACTCAGAGTTTCCCTCAGTTTCCTTCTTTGGATCAGACATTAGGATTAATATATTTTTCATCTGCAGTGGTGAGTAGCTTTAATGAAGTGAGGAATCCTCTTGGGCTGAGTTGCAGGCCTATGCCTAACTTCAACATTAAATCCCTCCCTAGTAAATTAGTCCCTGCTTCAGGGATTAACAAAAACTGAATATGAGCTGATTGAGCCTGGTATCTGACTTCTGTGTTTTCTAAAATTTTTGCTTTAAATCCTTCTCCCTTTACCCCACAAACCAAAAGTTCCTCTGAAGAGTAGGCAATATTAGATGGGGGGGAAACAAACAGAGGATCGAGCCACTCCTGAATTGACTAAAAAGGTTATAAACTCATGCTTAGGTCCCACTTCTAGACTTATCAAGGGCTCCTGGTGGGACTCAAGATAAAAGAGACAGAACCCCTGACCCCACTATTCTTCCTCAAAAGCCATGAGTGGAAGGACTTCTTTTTCATTTTCTAATTTGGGACATTCTCTCTTGAAGTGGCCTGTTCTTCCACATTTGTAGTGCCTACCTTGCCCTTCCCCACTCTCAGTTCTGGGATTCTTTGATTTTACTCCCCCATGCTATTTAGATGGCCTGGTAGACGAGAGCCTTGATCCTCCCAATGGAGGCTTGGGTCCTTTAAAGGAGGGTTTGGAACCTTTATAGTTTCTGGCCCACTGGAAGCTTTGTTTAGGGGTACATGGGTTTGGAGCCATCTGTTGGAAGGTGAATAACTTAAGTTTTGTCTTTTGTTTTTGCTTTTCTTCGTCTCTCTTTACAGATACGTTTTGAGTCTCTCTCAGAAGTTCACTTGAGGTCAGTTTTCCCAATCTTCTAATTTTTGTAACTTTTTTGAAATATCTGGACAATGTTGGCCAGGCGCAGCGGCTCATGCCTGTAATCCCAGCACTTTGAGAGGCCGAGGTGGGTGGATCACGAGGTCAGGAGATTGAGACCATCCTGGTTAACATGGAGAAACCCCGTCTCTACTAAAAATACAAAAAAATTGCTGGGCGTGGTGGTGGGCGTCTGTAGTTCCAGCGACTCAGGAGGCTAAGGCAGGAGAATGGAGTGAACCTGGGAGGTGGAGCTTGCAGTGAATCAAGATTGCACCATTGCACTCCAGCCTGGGTGACAGAGAGAGACTCCATCTCAAAAAAAATAAAAAGAAATATCTGGACAACTTTTAGTGACAAAATGGAGCTTTAACATTCCCTGTCCCAGGGGATTGTATATCAAATGCTTTAGAGAGATTTTGATTTTGGGGTACTGATTCCCTAGTTTCTTTCATTATCATTTCCCTTATGTCTTGCATGTTTTCTTGGTGAGCTGCGTTTTTATTATCCCACTGGGAATCTTGGGCAGGGAATTTTTGGTCTGTGGTAGGAACGTTTTGACAAGGAGGGTGTTCATATTCCCAAACTGCCATAGCAGCCCTACGGATCAGATCATGCTTCTTTCCTCCTCCGAAAAGAGGATGACTAGGATGGACATAAACTCGACCCAAGTGTATAACTGAGGTCCCAAGAATTGATCAACCTGATTTGCCACCTCATAAGGGTCATCTAACAGTGGCTTAATTTCCTTTTTCAAACTTCAGGCTTCTGAACTGGTTAAGGGAGCATTCACAAATACAATGGCTCCTCCTCCTTTTGGCATGTCTTTTAAGGGGAAGAGAGTTGGGGCTGACTTCTTAGGTGTGGAGAGAAAAGGGAAGTTCTGCATGTCCTTTTTACATTGCTGTACCTCATGCTGGAACCCCTTTAGGGAGAGGTATTTAGGTTGACAGGGGACAGGCTCATGGGATGATAACTCCCAAGAATTAGAGTTGTAAGGAGGAGGAACAGCTTGAGCAGGAGAAGGATCTGGGGTGGGATCTGGGGTGGCAGCAGCTGCCCGAGGGGAAGGGTCAGAGGCACTGAGCAGGGCAAAATGGTATAGGGGATCCCATGTGCTGGCTTTAGGTGTGGGAGTCCGCTCATCTGACTTTTCAATTTGAGATGCTGGATCGGGTTCTTCCCTAGTTGTCTTTAAGGGAATAAAGACAGGTCCCTGTCTCAAACAAAGAACATAATCTAGTTCTTCTTGAGAGACCAGATTTTTATCATTAACATATTGAATTAGAAGTTGACACATGACATCCTCATTCGACCCAAACTTTGGCCAGAAGATTGAGGGTTTGAAAATGGGACCTTGGGTCCAAATGAAACAGCAATATTTTATCCTCTAATGCTTTTTCTTATGTTTAGTCCTCTCATTATCCTTCCAATATTTTAACATGAGACCCAGAGGACTATCAGGGGACATGTATTTGTTACTATCCTCTTCTTTTTTGCGCCCTGTCTTACTTGGGGCTTTTCCCATGTTAGGTCCTGGTTAGGCTCAATCCCACATGCTAGAGATTTCTTCCCTATCCTTTAACGCCACCTGCTGGAGGCTCCTTGCACCCTTCTTTCACTTCATCCACTCTGGTTGCTTCCCTCCCAGGAATTTTAGGTCCCTCTTAGCATTGGCATCATGGTATAAACCCCACAGCAGGATCTGCCCTGAGCCCTATGAGGATACACTGAATTCCTCTTCAAAGGTTTTTTATTCAAATAAAAAACTGCAGGTAGAACCCACTCACTCCTCACAGCAATAATGCTTAGTATCATCAACACAAACAGCACCACAAGCAGTAGTGCTTGTGATCATTCACACACACTTTCAACCTCCAGAATATCCCGACCACCAAGGAAATACTTTGTCACCCTTGCGACATTTCTTACCTCGGTCTGTGCACAGTTACCTGGTCGCCACGGCATGTAAAGATCCTTTCCCCAAAGATGCTGGCCTGTTTCTTTCCACGTTGCTGAGAGCCCAGGTTTATTAATCGCACCAGTTGAGTCTTGATTCCTTACCTTTATGGCCACTGCAACGAGGCAGCGGGGTGCGCCTCCTCACGGGAGAGGACTGGACCCTCCCCCAGAGGAGAATGGGAATGCTGGGTGGGCCCCCAAATTTGTGGAAAATAAATTTTCAGTGCCGCAAAGAACAGTCAGCACTCCAGCAACAAGTTTTTACAGCAAGGCAAATTTACTTCTATGAAATAGTGGTCTTGCAGATGGAGCAATGGCAAGATCACACCGGACAAGGGAAGGGAAAGTGTTCTTATTCCTAACGCAGCTAGTCCCTACTGTTGTGTCTTTTCCCTATTGGATAGGGTTGGACTGCACACTCTTAGCTAATTCAGATGGGCTACTTCAAAGAGAGCAGGGGTATGAGCTGGAGTGGCAGGGTGAGTAGTTTCAGCTGGAAAGACAGTTACAGAGCAGGTGTCTAAGGATGACTAAGGACAGAGCAGGTGACTAAGAATGACTAAAGACAAAACAGGTGTTAGAGGCTAGAAGGGGGTTGTTTAATGAAACTAGGGGCAAGGAGGCATAACGAACGAGGAAGTTAAACTTTAAAACGGAGAACAAAGAACAGAGAATCTGAACATACTGACATATTTGCTCTTTGATGAGGAACTCAGAACTCGTTGTACTTAATCTTCCCCCTCTTGAATTTTAAAGGATTTTTACAGGCTAAAATCTCTGAAGAGGAACTCACTGTATGCTGTTCATCAGGTGTTCTTTCCACCAAGCTTTCAGCCATGTCAGGTGTTCTTTCCGCCAAGGGTGCAGCCTCATCAGGTGTTCCTTCACATGTTCCTTCTGCCAAACACACAGTCAGGTTAAATTTTCCTTCTGCTAAATATCATCCTTCTGACTCTTTACATGGAAAACTTCTACTCATTCAGCTTGCTTTCCTTAAATACTACCAAACTTTTGTTTTCTCCTTTTTTTTTTTTTTTTTTTGAGACAACAGCCTCGCTCTGTCACCCAGGCTAGAGTGCAGTGGCACGATCTCAGCAGATCACTGCAACCTCCGCCTCCTGGGTTCATGAAATTCTCTACCTCAGCCTCCCATGTAGCTGGGATTACATATGCATGCCACCCAGGCCCAGCTAATTTTTTGTATTTAGTAGAGATGGGATTTCACCATGTTAGTCAGGGTGGTCCCAAACTCCTGAGCTCAAGCAATCCACCCACCTTGGCCTTCCAAAGTGCTAGGATTACAGGAGTGAGCCACCGCTCCTGGACACTACCAAACTTTTTAAAGCTTTAATTCTTCACTTTGGATATAAAATGTCTGACACATACTGAATATGGTAATGACATAATAAGTGATAATTGTAAGCTCCCGAAGGGGTTCTGGCACAGAGTAAGCACTAAATAAAGTAGTAAATAATAAAAAAAGTCGATAATAACAAGAAAAATTCTTAGTACCTTAATAAAGTAGTAAATAATAAAAAATGACAATGATAATAACAAGAAAGATGCTTAGTACCTTAAAGATACCTGACAGTTATTTGTTAAGTGGACAAGTGGATAAACAAATAAAAAACATAGTTAGGAAGTTCTGTTGGAAAAATGCAGAAATTCAATAGAGACAGCTCTAATGTATTATGAGCACCTTAAAGACCCAGACTATGTGTATTCCATCTTGGTCTCCTGCAACTTGCAAAATCTAACTTATAGAAGTCCTTTGATAAATATGTAATAAATTAAAGATGTGTTCATATAGTTCATATTGTACAATGTATTGTGTCACATTTAGGTATCACAGTAGCACTTTTGTTATTGTGAAAATTTTTTCCACTTTTATTATTATTTGTTGAGCCTAGAGTTGAGCTAGTTGAATATTTATAATGATAATATTTTGGCTAGTAGGACGAGAGTAACTTGTTGTAACAAAATTACTATTAACACACTAATTATCCAGCAGATAGAACAACACATCTTGTTCTAATGAAGTAAATATATCTTATTTGGTTTCAACTTAGAGGGAATGAAGTTGGTAATAGTGAGAAATTGTTGGTACAAGACTATGTAACATAACCTGTGCTTCTGAACAAATAATTGCTTTTCTGACTTCTGCACTCATTAGGTATCTTTGAAAAATAATCTCCTATTGGTACTGATGCACCCTCGCTAAGTTATGTTAATTCTTATTGACATTCATTTATGGTGCAAGAAAAGTATTATTGAGTTCCAAATTCTAAAGATATTTAGTGACACAAGTCACTATGCCACACAGTTGATCTTTGAATAAGGGTTTTCACTCTAGGAGCCCACTAATAGACAGATTTTTCTTTTCCTTTGCCACTGCAAGATACCAAGACAAATCTCTCCTCTGCCTCCGCCTTATCAGCCTACTCAATATGAAGGCAATGAGAATGAAGTCCTTTATGTATAACAATTCACTTCCATCTAATAAATAGTGAATATATTTCTTCCTCTTTATAACAGTTTCTTTTCTCCAACTCACTTTATTCTAAGAATACAATATATAGTACATATAAAATAGAAACTATGGGTTAATTGACTGCTTATGCTTTCACCTTTTTTCAGGCTCCAGGTCAAGAATTAGTAGAGTTTTGGAGGAGTCAAAAGAAACAGATTTTCATATAAAGCAGATTTTCAGCTGCATGGGGGGATCAGCACCCTAACTCTCATGTTGCTCAAGACTCAACTGTAATTAATTCTAATTTTCTAAATGCAAATCATTTATTGTAAAAATTACATAAAGCCCAGAAGTTCAAGACCAGCCTGGGCAACATAAGGAGACCATGTCTCTACAATAAAGAAACAAACAAATAATTTATTTTTTTATTTAACAAATAAACACTTTATATGTTTGTTTATGTTTAATAAACAAACATAAATACTTGTTTATTTAACAGTTTAACTGTGTTCCTTTATAGGTTATAATATTCAAATGTTGCAGTTTTCTCTTATTAATTCCTACTTTTCATTATTAGATGTACTGTTATTTGTGGCTTGTAATTCAAGGCATCTAAGCTAGTTTATAATTTGTAATGAAGTTTATTTATAAATATATTAGTTCATTAAATTGGATAAGCTGATAAACCCCTATTACTGAACTCATCAATCACACCAAGGATTATACATTTTATAACAAGCATAAATTGTTATGACAGTTAAGGAAACATACAATATATAAACTTAAAAATTGTTTTACTTATTTATACAAAAGTATTATATAGGATATTAGGGACCACAATTAAACAAATATTTTTTCAGATAATATTTTTGAGATTATAAACCACCTACAACTAAATTCTTAATGAATTCTGAATTATAAACTAAAAAATTAAATCAAAGCTCTGTATATATAAAAACACTTACGTATAGGTATATATGTAAACACATGCTACTTACACGTTGCTTTTTTAATAGCTCTTTTGTGATCAACACTCCTATAATCTCATGGTAGCACCACCAAGTGTAGTTTACTATCAGAGGTCTTACCTGGATTGCTATTTTGAGAATTTTTAGATATCTTTTGTTTATATTCCAAAAGTTGTTGATCAATGCTATGTATAAAAATGAAATAAATAAAATTACTATTTTAACATTGATATAAAAAACATTTACCAAATTTGTTAAGTTCTTAGAGTATTTCAGACAATATTAGAGCTAACATCAGAACATTACTTTTTCCATAGACTTTAAGTTTGTAAGCTCTATGAACTTATTAAGCTTCTAATTAAAGAAGAAAGTAAGATAAAACACTCATGAAGTGAGGGCAGTATAACTCAGCAAATTAACTAGAGGTAGCTTGACATATGGAAAATGTCCTTAACTCAGAATAAATCCTAGCATGGCTACCAACAGGTATTTTTTCTTGAACAAGTTGCTTCCTTAGACTCAATGTCTTCTAACAATGAGGATTTTAGGGCCTTATTTCACTATGTTATTATAAAGATTTAACAAGATAACATTTTTAAAATGCTTAAAATAAAAAGTGAAGCAAAAAAATAATTTGTTCTTCAACCTTATTGCTGAAACTATTTTAAAATTCCCAATAAAACCCAATATATTGGCCTGGTGCAGTGGCTCATGCTTGTGATGCAAGCACTTTGGGATGCTGAGACAGGAGGATTGCTTGAGTCCAGAAGTTCAAGACCAGCGTGGACAACATAGGGAGACCACGTCTTTACAAAAATTAAATTACAAAGAAAAAAACACAAATGTGTTTCTTCATAGGTTATAATATTCAAATATTGCAATTTTCTGTTATTAATTCCTACTTTTGGATATTAGATTTTCTGTTCTTTGTGGCTTGTAATTCAGAGCATCTAAGCTATTTTATATTTTGTAATGAAATTTATTTATAAATATATTAAATCATTAAATCAGATGACCTAATTATACTCTATTACTGAGCTCCTCAGTCACACCAAGGGCAGAAAATAATAGATGTCAGCATCTGGCTTGGACTACTGCTACTCTTTATCTACCTCCTTAAACTCTGAACCAACAAATCTTTGTTAGAATGATGCTTAGTCACTATGTTCATTTCCAGCTGCTGTGGAAGACAAAACCCTACCTTTATTTTCTGTAAGTTCCACAAAGAAGATGCAAGTTGGTATTTTCTTATTTCTGAGATCCCTACTAACAAAATATTGCACACAAGATCCTATGTGTTACCACATCTCATTTCATAGATCACCTTACGTAAATAATTTTTTGTATGAAAATCACAATTGCAATACTGAGCTTCACCCATTTTGCTTTGACTCACACCATTTCCTTGGAGCTAGTTAGAAAGTAGTAAAATGTCCTTTTGGGGACTGCAAGAAATATGCAACACTTTACAGATTCTATGTCATCCTTGTGTGGGGACCATGCTGATCTTCTCAACGTTGTTTCAATTTTACTATATGTACCACTGAAGCCAGCACAAATCCTTACTTTTATATGTGAAGACTGATCAGTGATGGATGAGGCTTAGCTCTGTTAAATCTAACCAACTTACTTGAGATTTAATAAAGTCTATTGTATGGCTTCATGGTGATGCAGCATTTGAAAATATTTTAAAAACTCGAGGTAGAGATGTAAGTAGCATGGGAGATTTTTACTTTTAGGAAAAAAGAATCACTTGAGGGGACAACCACAAGTTGGAACCCACTACAACTTGGGAAAGATGACATGGGATTTTACAGAATAAGGTGAGACCTTCCACTACCTACAAAATGGTGCTACACAGGATATAAAGGGCCAGGGATATAGATCTGTTAACAAAGACAAAATGGATCTCTAATTTCTTCCTGTAACAATATTTCAACCTGACTTACAGTTTCAAACTACCACAACTAATATTGGGTAGAGAAAATAGAAAAAGTCACTCAAAGGATAAGTTACCATGAAGGTCTAGGCCATGTCCAGGTTAAGATGTGGGTTTCACATCAGGTTTTGAGTGTGAGGAGAAGGGTCAATTTGCTCACTATTTGTGTGGCTAAAGCTAAAAGTTCTAGCTGCCAGAGTGGGGTGCTGATACTTTGGTAACAATGGCTGAGAATATGTACATGAACTTTAAAAACATGTAGTAACTTCAAAGTCTACACCATGAAGACTGAGGGATCTGTGTTAATAAGGGCATCCTGGTCACAAAGGTCAATCATTACCAGACTGCAGGAGCAGTTTCAATGGCAAAGATGCAGCAACAGAATCAATGGAAACAACAAAATGAAGAGAATAGCCATTCCCCCACCCCCTCCCAGTCCTTCTGACTTGCACAGAAGGAATGTCTTCCTTGGACTTAGGGTCAGATTCTTTTAAAAAATTCAAGAATGAAGGTATGGAAGACAGCCCCCTGGGGACACTATCAGGTTTTCTGCTTAAAGTGGACATTTTGAGACCCAAATAACTAATTAGAAAAGCTAAAATCGTGACATTATGTTTATCCCATGCATAGGGGTCATACTTCAAATCAAGTAGACAACATTAGCGTCCCTAAAGCCCTAAAATAAAGAATCCTGGAGCCATTACTCCTTCTAAATAGTCTAGCTTTTTGCCTGGTTTCTGGCTGATGAAGTGAACTAACTCAGTGTCATTCATAAACTACCTGAAACAAACTATAAAATCTCACCTAGCCTTTAAATGTAAACACTTACGGATTAAATCCACAAGCAACAGCATAACGTTCTGCAATCATTCCACACGTATCTTCAGCACAGATGTCAACATTTTCCTGAAGAACCATGCCAACTATCTCTGATGATCCATGACACATGGCAAGCATGAGGGCTGTGCTAAAATAACAAAGAGATAACTTCATTATTAGGAACAGAACCAATTTAATATGTGCCTGTCAGTGTAGAATTAACCATTTACATGTATTAACAAACGTTAAGTATCTTGAGTGCTCAAGTGTTTATCCTTGTAAATCACGACCAAGGCTAAAAGGAAGGGGCAAAAAGACTCATGTCTCACTGGGATATGCCATAGTAGAATTGGCTAACATAAAGTCCACTGAGGGGCAAGAAAATATGTTCTGTTCACTAATCTAAAAGAGGCAAAGTTTTAAGTGAAGAATTATCTATTTTCTCCTTAGTTTTATATAATATTTTGTACTTCAAAATTAGCTAGAAGTCGGACAAGTGAGAGCAATCTGAAGACTTAAAACAATATTAGGAATAATATTGTCCTGAGTAGCTGGGACTATAGGCATGTGCCACCATGCTTGGCTAATATTTATATTTTTCATAGAGATGGGGTTTTACCATGTTGGCTAGGCTGGTCTCAAACTCCTGGCATCAGCTGATCTACCCACTTGGCCTCCCAAAGTGCTGGGATAACAGATGACAGCTACCATGCCCAGCAAATATTGCATTTTTTAAAAGCACATGAAAAACAGAAGTTAGAAAAATACTATAAAGGTGTTAATCATTCAATATTGAATTATAAAGTAAACTAAAAATTCTTAAAACTAATACAGAACCACTTTAGCTAATAGAAGATAATGCAACCAAAAACATCAGATTACAAATAAGAATCAGTCAATACAATAAAAGAAGAAAATCCTATTATATACTGTTCTTTATGTTGACCAGTCCAAATAATTGCTTTTCTTCCTAACTGATAATTTGTGTTGGTATTTTTCTGTATAATCTAATAATTTTAAGTAAATATTATTAATTTAATATTTCTGACTTGATTGTTATTACTCTAGCACACTACTCAAGTGTTTTTTAATAAAAAAACTACTATACCATTTAAACTTATCAACTGCATTTGCATTTGCATTTTTTGTCAGTAAAAATTCCACAATTTGCTCACTTCTTTTCCTCATGACCAGTAAAAGCGGTGTGTGGCCAGTCTGTAAAACAGCAAAAACAATTTATAATTCATGAAATTACATATTTCTCAGCTGAACTGAATACCTTATATAATATCTTATGAACATAAACAATAGAAAGTAAATCAATAGCAATCCCTTCTTTCTCACTTTTCTGTGCTTTCCCATGCACTGCACCTTCTCTTGTAAACATTCAGCCTCTGCGTCACCACATTAACTCTGGTTATCTCCAAAAATCATTATATTGTAATGATTTTATTGTTTCCCATTTAAACCAAGAGCTTCTTGAGGGCAAGGGCTGTATCTTTTACCTCTATATCCTTAAACCCTAAGACATAGTAGTAAATACTTTGTTTTTTATTAAATTAGTAATCTAAATTATTACCTCTGGAACAATGTTTCTTCAACTATATTCCAAAGAATAATTACCTTACCAGAAGCACTGTACCCCAACAGATTCCACCATTATCTATGTTCAAGAAAAGTTATAAAACTGTGAATTAAATGTTCATTATTCAATAAATGAATTGAACTTTACCTAATCCTTATTTGACAGTATATTTTTGTGGCAAACATTAACATTTGACAAATTAGAATTTTAGGGATGCAGTTTTGAAAGCTTCCCCCCAAAAAGGGAGGTTTCCTCTGGGTGATACAAACTTACTTGATTCTCTTCTATCAATAATCCCAAGATTCCAGATGCCAATGTCAGGCACTCCTGCTCTAAATGGGTCACTAAGGAAGTGGCTCTAAATTAAAAGAGATTGGCTTCAAATAAACTTTGATTGCTTATTATTAAATCATCCATGAGGTTTATCCTATTACCAGACAATAGGATTTTATCTCAGTTATTAGAAATTCAGTATAAAAGGCCAGGCAAGGTGGTTCATGCCTGTAATCCCAGCACTTTGGGAGGCCAAGGTGGGCAGATCAAAAGGTCAGGAGATCGAGACCATCCTGGTCAACATGGTGAAACCCCATCTCTGCTAAAAATACAAAAAATTTAGCTGGGCATGGTGGCACATGCCTGCGTCCCAGCTACTCAGGAGGCTGAGGCAGGACAATCGCTTGAACCAGGGAGGCAGAGGTTTCAGTAAGCCAAGATCACACCACTGCACTCCAGCCTGGTGACAGAGCGAGGCTCCGTCTCAAAAAAAAAAAAAAAAAGAAAAAAAGAAAGGCAATTCAGTATAAAAGTTTATTCTCAATTATAATGATACTCCTAGGATCCTAATGCATATCCACTTCTTAAAATGCAATAATCCATTTTTATTCTGGTTTCTATTGTAATTGATACTATTTTTTGGCAAAATATCAGAAGTATGAATAAAATGGCTTATTAATGAAAGTTCTAACTCACGTATATGGATTAGCAAAATAGAAGTCGCTAAATCACTTGAATTTTAAGGGACAAGTCTGTGGAGAAAGATATAATATTTTCTGCAATTTGCATAACCCATTCAAATATAAACATGATTAATCTAAAAAGGCTTAAAGGCCTTCTAATAGAAGATGATTATTTATGGTTTATATGAAGAAAAATCATCATTTAAAAAATATTCTAAATTCTAGAAGACAACCCCATTATTAATGAATTAATGTAAAATATAAACTATATATTATAAACACCTATAAACTGTCTTCAATAACTTGAAATCTTTACCAAAATATACTACAAGAGAAGAATTGATAACTGAAATATTTACAGAGGCAAAAGAGGTAAGTTGAATAAGTGATGTAACTAGGTGGGCACAGTAGCAAACTGGAAACATATGTTTTATGTAAAGCTAGAATGTCTTCATAGCATACCAAACAGTCATATGGGCTCAAGAAACACCAGATTCAATCCTTTAAGAGGAAATCCAGATTTCTTCATGTCTCCTAAATTTTACTTTCCTGTAGTTTTATACTAATTGGAAAGAAAAAAAAAACTTGGGTGGGAAAGAATATTTGAAAAATTTTACCTTTAACAAACTCAAATATTTATCATAATGCACAGAAAAACCATACTAATAGTTCTTGTAAAAATATTAATATTTAAAGCAAAATCCTAGACAATTAAGTTTGGTCAAACTATTTTCATAGGAAAATAAGAATGTTTGAGCTTCCAAATATAAAACAATTTACATATGTTAATGTTAAAACAAATGGATTTCAAATATTTTGAAAATAACATTGGTTAACGTCTACCTTGTTCTTCACTTCGATGTCTGCACCACAGGACAGCAATTTTGCCACCACTGACAAATTCTCACCTTATAAGAGCATAATGAACAGCTGTGTTGCCATACACATCTACAATATTTGGATCAGCACCAGAATCTATGAGAATATTTGCACAAACCTCCCTCTGGCATTGCACAGCCTGTCAGTATTAAAGCAAGAAGTAAATTATAAATTATAGGAAATATAAATAAATATTCCACAGGTTTCACAAACTAGCTATATTTCAATGAGATACATTCATTTTTATTCTATGTATTTAAACCAAATCCATCTCCTGCTGAAAGAACTGGCTACCATTTACCTTCATCAGAGTTGTCCTGTTTTCGCCATCAAGGATGTCAAGCTGGCACTTTCTATCTACCAGAAGTGTTACTACTTCTGCACGGCCATTGGCGCAGGCCCAGTGTAGAGCAGTCCTACGAAAGTGAGAGGACTTTTTAGGAAAGTTTAGTCCACTGTCTCAAAGCATATAATGATTTATGTAATTGTCAACATTAAATACCATGCTCTTTCTCTGCCTTCAAAACAAATATTTAATATTCTCCTGAAGAAAGAACAACATTCATTCACTCTTATTACTCACTACATTAGTGAAAGAGTGGCCTATTTGAATAGAAAGAGCTTGGCCTTTGGATTCAGTTCACTTGGGCTTGAATATTACTTTAAAGTCTTTCACCTTCTAGCTATCACCTAACCTTTCTGTGCCTCAAGTTTCTCATCAATAAAGTGAAGATGAATACAGCAGTTTTCTCACAGGACATCACTGTGATGCCTCATGAGAATCTGTGCAATATATTTCAAAGAATTCCTAGCACATGTAACAGCTCAGTAATTGTTAGATATTGTAATTATTTCTACTACTTAACAAAGAAAACATTTTAAGTTAAATGGTACAGTTATGCCTACTTTGTGGTATGTTTTAAAGGTTAGAGATAAAACTGTATTTTAATAATTCTAAGATACTCTATTTCTCATATTTTAACATCTCTGACATTGAAATGCCACTTATAAGTCATTATTTATTACAAGTATATTTTGCAGAAATTTAAACAATCTTTTATTGGTACATAAATAAGGAGGCATCACACAACTCATGATGCCTTCCATGAAGTGGAATACGGTATATACAACAGGATGATGGCAGTCCTAATCATAGGATTAACACTTAAAGAAATTTTAGCTTTTAAGAGTGCTACACAAAAGGAGAGTTGAAATAAAAACAAACTGTTATAACAAAGTACTTCTTTAATATTTTTAAAACTTCAAGCCAAAGAAAACTTGGGATTCAAGTAGGTATGGCTCATTTTATTCCATATTTAGATTTACAGAATGTATGTAAATTCATATTTAAATTTATAGACTGCATGTAAATTAGGTATTTCTAATGATTAATATTACTATTTAAAGCTGTTATAAATTTCCAAAATCGTGGTTGGTAGTTATCTTTTACTAGTTTCTCACTTCAGAAGAGTTTTTGTTTTAAAGATGAGAGGAAAAGCTTCAATTGAGATTCAGTCCTAATACTCCAACTTTAAACCTCTCACTTTGCTAAGGCCGAGCAGGTAAATGTGAAATTTTTAAGGATGAAAGGATCTTGAGAGTTAATGTATCTTCTACATAATAGGCATTCAGCTTACATGTGATAAATTGATTAAAAGGATAAATACAGTTGAGAAGTTCAATACCTTAAAAAAACTGCTATAAATCACTTATATTTTCTATTTTATTTTCTTAATAATAAAACTACACTAATTAATCTATAATTATTGACATATATGTAATAAATCTATATATAATAAAAATATGTGCCTAATAAGATGTATATGTAAATCAACAAGCACAGGTAAAAAGATTGTCTTTTGAAGATGCTAAAAGTTCACATAATATACTAATCCACAAAAAATAATAACTAAAATATGGGAAGAGAGAAATTATTTTTATTGGTGCAAAATTATATTCCTGCTCTTCCTAAAAATTATTCCATTAATAATAAACTTTTTCTAATAGCATTGTACATGCTCAATGAGGAAATCAAAGATGATAAAAAGGAAAAACATTTAAATTAAAACAAATGCCCTCAAATAACAAATTTTATCGTATTTCATACACAATTTCAGATAACACAAGACTGTAGTCTGTGTGTATGTATAATCAAACTGAACTTTACCCTCACTTGATACACCAAAATACACTTTCAAATGTCACCTACTTCTCTACATATTTCTACCTTCAGTGGTCACATATTATCCCATGCTGTAAATTCACTGAAATGTATTTATAAAAGCCATTATATGGATTCTTCTTAATAATATGGTACTTACCACCAAATTGTCTATTTGAAAAGTTATCTGCAACTTAAACTTTAAACAGCAGTATAAATATCACTGCTCTTCATCCTCACAAACTTTGTAGATAGAAAACAGTATTTGATTCCTCTTTTAATTTAAATACCTTCTCTAACCAGGAACACTAAATATTGTTTTCTGTGTGCATAGGTCACTTACAGATCTTAAGAAAATACTTTGCCCAATTTTAAATTAGAAGCAAAGTACTATTTTTAGATCTGCAATTTAGATCTCTAATTTAAATTGCTCAATTTTAAATTAGAGGATTTTTTGTTGATTTAAGTGAATTATCTATAAAATGACGATTTTTAAATCTAATATGTATACACAGAAACACATACATGTGTAGTAAACATTTTACAAGTATGCTGCCTTTTATTTTTTCTCATTATAGGTTAATTTAATTTTGCTTTGCTTAATTATCCTTCAGACTGCTTGCTTCTGAGCTTCTTAGAGAGGTGTTGTCAACATAAAAATGTACCTGTGTAAATAGGCATTTATGTTTTCTTCTGGTGCTTTTATCATTTTGTATATTAAAAAATTTAATCTATATTCCGTCAGAAATTTACTTTGTGGTATAAAAATCTAGTTTTCTCCAAAAAGCAGGCATTTCGCTTATGAAACTAATTCTTTCCCTACTAGTATAAAGTTCTAAATTCTTAGATATTTGGGTGTTTCTGGATTTTCTATTCTGTGTATTCATTTACCTGTCTTTTCAGCTGTTATCAAAGAATTTGTGATTTGTTTATTTATTTTTGAAACAGAGTCTCACTCTGTCGCCCAGGCTGGAATGCAGTGATGGGATCTCAGCTCACTGCAACCTCCACCTCCCAGTTTCAAGGGATTCTCCCACCTCAGTCTCCCGAGTAGATGGGATTACAGGCTCCCGACCTCGTGCCTGGTTAATTTTTGTATTTTCGTAGAGTCGGGGTTTCACCATATTGGCCAGGCTAGTCTTGAACTCCTGACCTCAGGTGATCCACCCGCTTCGGCCGCCCGAAGTGCTGGGACTACAGGCATGAGCCACCACGCCTGGCCCTTTTTTTTTTTTTTTTCAAATTTTATTTATTTATTTATTATGATTATTTTGAGACAGAGTCTTGCTCTGTCACCCAGGCTGGAGTGCAGTGGTGCGATCTCGGGTCACTCCAAGCTCCGCCTCCCAGGTTCACACCATTCTCCTGCCTCAGCCTCCCGAGGAGCTGGGACTACAGGCGCCCACCACCACACCCGGCTAATTTTTTGCATTTTTAGTAGAGACTGTGTTAGCCAGGATAGTCTCGATCTCCTGACTTCGTGATCCACCCACCTCGGCCTCCCAAAGTGCTGGGATTACAGGTATGATCCACCTTGCCTGGCCGTGGCGCATTTTGTGCAAATTAATAGCACAGTTTGAAATCTAGAAGGGCAAGACTTTTCTACTCTGTTACAAAATTTTTTAAATGTCATCACAATAGTAAAAGACAGTGTGTGTAATTTTAAAAATGTTAAAACGTTGATAACTTTATTTGGTTTATGTAAAACTGATAAAGAGCTTGCATCTTGAGAAAAATGAGTCTTCTTAAATTCGAAAACACAAACCATCTTCCCACCTCAAAGTTACCTTCTAAGGTCCCTCAGCAAAGAACATATTTACATAGGCATTCATTGATATTGAAATGGATACTGGACTTTATCCAAAAAACTTTTAGCCAAGAAGCTAATGTATTATGGGAATTATTTCATTACGCACCATTTCATAATGTATCTAACATTATCTTCTAAAACCTGTACATTAAAAGTAAAACCCTGTATGTACTTAATTTTGTAAGTTAAATCACTTTAAAATTCTCTACACAGTGCTCTGTGAGAGGAAATGGGAGTGAAGGAGAAAGCAGCTAACTAAAGTTTGGGGTTGATTTTAAGGTGGCCTGGGCCCTCCGCCCTGTCAAGGCCTGGAGGGCCTGCTCGGGAACAAGGCCAAGACCTCGGGGCCCGGGACGGCCACCCCGCTGCCCACCACTCCTCCACCTGCTCCCCTCGTCCCTAGGACCCCTAGCCCCCACTCTGAAGGGGCGATCCTCCCACAGCCGCCTCCTCCTCCTGCAGCCCCGGCTCAGGCACTGTCTGGTACCTCTTCTTCGCATCTCTTATGTTCAGGTCCATTGTCGTTTTCTTCATCATCCTCTCCAGCTTCCAGGCTTGGCCCCGGGAGGCAGCTTTGTGGATCTTCCTGAGATCCCCGTGGTGAATCACGTAAGAGTCATTGTTGGTGTAGACCAGCTGACTGAAGGGGCTCGGGCACTCCAGGCCCGTCTGGCCCTTGACAGCGGCGGCAGAGAGCCTCTCCATGGCTGCAGCCACCTGCTAGAGAGCGCCCGCACCTCCCGCTACTCGCCCTTCCCCAGTCCCCGCCGCTCGCCCTCGCCCTTCTTCAGTCCCCGCACCCGCCCTGACACCAGTAGAAATCTCAGTCGGGCCAAGCTTTTGGACACTCCAGCCTCTCCTGGGAGAAAAGGGCTGCGCAAAACCATTAGGCAGCTGAGCAGAACCGTTAGGCAGCTGAGCAGAACCTTTAGGCAGCTGAGCAGAACCCTTAGGAAACAGCACATGCGCAACTCAGCAGACTGGGGAGACACGCCAGGCGGGAAACTGCCCTGGCTGCGCTTCGCCCAGCACCACCTGCAGGTGGCACCTGCCACTGAGGCGCTGTCGGGCTGGCGGGGCTCCCTGGAGCGGAAAGTGGGGGACCCCCTGCCACACGGCCTGCTTGACAGAGCCGCCCCTGGCCCCTCTTCAACCTGAGATCCAGGAGCTGGGCCCTGGAGCTGGGCATCCTGCAGCCTCTGGGGTGGCGCTGAGCATCGGTTCCCGCCCTCCTGCAGCCAAGGACCCAACCCCTGACTTAGGCGCCCTGGAGGCTTCTGGCCCAAGTATCCACGCTGCTGGTGGCGCTGGCAGGGTCGGGGTTGCAGCCTCTGCTGCCACGTGCCATGTTCAGGTGGCAGCTGCAGCTGAGCCCATGGTAGAGGCTACAGGGCTGGGCCCAGACCACTGAGCATTGCCGAGTACATCGCCCTTCCACCCGGGGCTCTGCTCTTCCTCGGCTCGCGCTGGCAGCGCAGGCTCGCCACCACTGGGCCCTGTACAGCTGCAGCGATGAGGCTTTGCGGCAGGTTCCCACCCTCCTGCAACTGAGGTCCCACTGCCTGACTTAGGCGCAGTGGCCGTGTCCGACCCTGGGGTTCGCCTGCTGGTGGCGTGGGCAGGTTCTGGTGTTGCCACCGCTGCTGCCACCTTCAAATGCCAGCTGCAGCTGATCCCATGGTAGAAGCTGCAGGGCTGGGCCCGACGGCCTGAAGGTCGCCGTGTGGCACACGCCCCCCCACTCTAGGCCCTGCTCTTCCTTGGCTCGCACCCTGAGCGCTGGTTTGCAGACTCTGGGGACTGTGCAGTCGCCAGTATGGGGCTGAGTGGCAGGTTCAGAGCTGCCTGGGCCCAGAGGGGAAGAGGAGAGTTTGGGGTTGCTTCGCCATATTTGCCTGTGTGCCAAGTGCAGGTAGTGGCTACTGTTCTGACAGGCACGGATGGCGGATCCAATTTAGAGGGCTTCAAGGTTGCTGAGAGCGCCAGCTGCCAGGCCTCAGGATCCCTTCCTCGTTGACCAGCATCTGGAGTATGGCGGTGGCGCTGGGTAATCTGCAGCCATCCTGGATGGGGCTGAGCTGCAGTTCTCCCCCTTGGACTGAGAGGTAAACTTGGCTGAGTAGAGCAGATGGAGAAACAGTTAAATTGAACTTATCTATAAAGACTTCCAGGCTGGGTGCAGGACCTCATGCCTGTACTTACAGCACTTTGGGAGACCGAGATAGGAGGATCATTTGATCCCAGGAGTTTGAGACCAGCTTAGACAACACAGGGAAACTTCATCTCTATAAAAATAAAACCAATCAGCCAGGCATGGTGGTGCATGCCTGTGGCCCCAGCTACTTGGGAGATTGATTGTGGGAGGATCACTTGGACCCGGGAGATCGTGGGTACAGTAAATTGATTGTGCCACAAACAAGGAATGAGAGGTCCTGTTGCTCCACATCCTTGACAGCATTTGACTTTTTCAGTCTTCTGGATTTTGGTTATTGTTTGATTGTTTGTGCCGCTACACTCCAAGCCTGGGCAACAGAGACTCTCTCTCTCAAAATAAATAAATAAAAGACTTCTAGTCACTATATCATATCTATGTGGAATTCTTTACACATCAAGCTTGAAGAGTTAAAACCCACAGCGCCCTCTGGTTATGTGATAGGGACCATGTGATTAAAGTGGGTGACCATGTTCTTGCCTCCAGGGGGCCCAAGTCAAGGGATGGGTCCCCAGCTGCAGGAGAGTGGAAATGGATGCTCAGCACCACCCCAGAGGCTACACAATGCCCAGCCCCAGGCCCCAACTGCTGGATCCCGGGTCATGAACAAAAACCCAAGAATTGAAGACTTGAGTGTTAGATATGCTCATTTCTTCTGGGATATCATTGGTTCTGGACCGTCTTAGCTTACAAAGCAAAGAAATAAATGTGCATATACAAAGCTGTGTATAGACATAACTATAAATATTTCTAAATGTAATGTGTGTAAGTGTTAGTTCATACTGATGTCTAAGACTCAATTCTTTTATCACATGATCATTCTGGTCTTCTCCCCTTGCTTACATGTAAGCTCCCACTTTAATAGTGAGAAAGCAGGCTCCTGTCATTTGTCATCATTTGCTTAACTGTCTAGTTCCAATATACATTTATTCTCTATCAATATCAGAATCGCTATCCCATTTCCTTTAGGAAACAGCTATACCAACCAGATCACATGAGTTGTTTGCAGTTTCTCTTCCTTTCAGTCTTCATGCATTTTCTTTGTTTCTTTTCTCTTTTTTTTTTTTTTTTTTTTTTTGAGATGGAGTTTTGCTCTTCTTGCCCAGGCTGAGGCAGGAGTGCAGTGGCGTGATCTCGGCTCACTGCAACTTCTACCTCCCAGGTTCAAGCGATTCTCCTGCCTCAGCCTCCTGCGTAGCTGGGATTACAGGCACCTGCCATCATGTCCAGATAATTTTTGTCTTTTTAGTAGAGACGGGGTTTCACCATTTTGGCCAGGCTGATCTCAAACTCCCAGCCTCAGGTGATCCGCCACCTTGGCCTCCTAAAGTGCTGAGATTACAGGTGTGAGCCACCACGGAAGGCCCATCCATTTTCTAAGATGTTTATGTCAGCACGTTTTTCCCACTCCCTAGAGTGAAGTGGCTTTATACATTTGTAGTACTTTAGATTTTTTATCACATTCTGCATTCCATCCCAGGATCCCCAGAACACCTACTTTGTTGTTGTTGTTGCTGTTGTTTTAAAATTTGCATACATATAAGTGACACTCTTTGTGCTGTGAGATTCTTTGTTTTTTAAAAGATGCAGGCCGGGTGCAGTGGCTTACACCTGTAATCCCAGCACTTTGGGAGGCCAAGGCGGGCAGATCACGAGGTCAGGAGACAGAGACCATCCTGGCTACACGGTGAAACCCCGTCTCTACTAAAAATACAAAAACAAAATTAGCCGGGCGTGGTGGCAGGCACCTGTAGTCCCAGCTACTCGGGAGGCTGAGGTGGGAGAATGGCGTGAACCTGGGTTGCGGAGCTTGCAGTGAGCCGAGATCGTGCCAGTGCACTCCAGCCTGGGCGACAGAGCAGACTCCATCTCAAAAAACAAAACAAAACAAAACAAAAAAAAAAACAAACGCAAATGCATACTCTCATGTTTCCACAGTTGTGGTATCATACAGAATACTTTGACTGGTCCAAATAACGCCCACGGGCTTCACTTATTAAACCTCCTCAATGAATCTTTTGCCAGATCATTTACTTTTTTAGGAAGTAATATTCCCTTATATGACGTATCACAGTGGTTTTTTTTTTTTTTTCCAGTCATCAATTATGAGACCTCTTGGTTTCTTCCAGTTTCAGGAATTATAAACAAACTGCTATATATATATTCATGTGCCAGTTTGGGTGTGGACATAGTTTTCAAATAAAGTGGATAAACACCTAAAAACACATTTGCAGCCAGACGTGGTGGCTCACGCCTGTAATCCTAGCACTTTGGGAGGCTGAGGCGGTTGCATTGCCTGAGCTCAGGAGTTGGACACCAGCCTGGGCCACATGGTAAAATTTCCCAAATCAACAAGTTATACTGTCTCTAGTAAAAGACAAAAAAAAAAAATTAGCCGGGCATGGTGGTAGGTGCCTGTAGTCCCAGCTACTCTGGAGGCGGAGGCAGGAGAATTGTTTGAACCCAGGAGGTGGAGGTTGCAGTATCCTTCTATTGCACCACTGCACTCCAGCCTGGGTGACAGAGCAAGATTCTATCTCAAAACAAACAAAAAAAACACAATTGCTATATTATATGTAAGACCTTTTTTTTTTTTTTTTACATATAGTATAGCAACTATGGGCATAAGAAATTGCCCATCTGTCTTCCAAAGTGGTGGTTTCATTTTGCAAGTGGTGAAAGAAAAAAAACAAAAAAAATTCTTCTTGCTCCTGGTTTTTGGGAAAAAGCATCCCACTTCTCATCATTAAGTATGATAGTTTTAGGGGTTTTGTAGATGTTCTTTGTCAAGTTAAGAAAATTCACCTCAATTCCTAGTTTTCTGAGAGTTTCTCAAATTATAGATGGGTGATAGATTTTGCCATAAGCTTTTTCTACATCAGTTGATACAGTCACATGATTTTTCTTCCTGCAGATTTAGGAAATTCTGCAGATAATTTTCTAATATTGAATCAGTCTTGCATACAGTCTTACCTAGAATAAATACATAGTTAGATTCAATTGTCTAGTATTTTGTGAAGGATTATTGGATCTTTGTTTATGAGAGATATTGATATATTGATTTTATTTCATGTTATGTCTATAGGATTTAGTAAGGGTAATATTTACCTCATAGAATAAGTTAGGAAGTGTTATCTCTAATTCCATTTTCTTGAAAAGTCTGTGGAAAATGGGTATAATTTCTCCTTTAAATGCTTGATAGAATTCACCACTAAAGCCATTTGGGCCTGGAACCATTGTTGGGGGGGGGGTTATTAACTATTTATTTAATTCCTTTTATAGATATAAAAGTACTCATGTTATCTATTTTTTCTTTTGTGAGTATTGGCATATTGTGTCTTTCAAGGTATTTGTCCATTTTATATAGGTTATTGAACTTGTGAGTATAGAGTTTTTAATATAGTAAATATATTATCCTTTTAATGTCCACAAAATCAGTAGTCATAACCCATACCCCTCTTTCACTTCCAATATTTGTAAGTTGTGCATTCTCTCTTTTTTTCTTTGTTACTTTGTCTAAATGTTAGCAAGTTTATGGATCTTTTCAAAGAAACAGCTTTCTATTTCATTGATTTTCTCTATTGTTTTCCTGTTTTCTATTTTACTGATATCTGCTATACTTTATATATTTTTTCCCTTGTTACTTACTTTGGATTTTCTTTTTCTAGTTTCTTAAGGCAGAAGCTTAAGTTATTGATTTTATCTCTTTTTTCATAATAATATATATTTAATGCTATAAATTTAGGTACTAGTTCTACTGTATCTCATATATTTTAGTAAGTTGTGATTCCATTTCCATTTAATTCCAAATATTTTAATTACTCTTTAGTCTTCTTTTGGGATGCACTTAGATGTTTTGTTAAGTCTTCAAATATTTGAAAAATTTTTCAGTTCTTCCTGTTATTTATTTCTACTTTAATTTTTATTGTGGTCTGAGTGTGTACTTTGTATGAACTTTATTCTTTGAAAAATTTTAAGACGTTTATGGCCCATAATGCAGTCTGTCTTGTACAAACTAGAGAAGAATGTGTATTCTACTTTTGTTGAAGTAGAATATAAACATTAATTATATTCATTTATTTTTATTTCATTTTATTTTATTTTGAGATAGAGCCTCACTCTGTCACCCAGGCTGGAGTGCAGTGGTGGTCTTGGCACACTGCAACCTCCACATCCCAGGTTAAAGTGATCCTCCCACCTCAGCCCAGAGTAGCTGGGATTACAGATGTGTGCCACAACACCCAGCTAACTTTGATATTTTTAATAGAGACGGTGTTTCATCATGTTGGTCAGGCTGGCCTCAGGTGGTCCACCCACCTTGTCATCCCAAAGTGCTGGGATTACTGGCATGAGCCACTGTGCCTGGCCTGCCTCCTCTTATTTTAATTGAGCATCTTCTATGATTGCATTTTTGTCTCAGCTCTTGGTGTATCTCATCACCTCATGAGATGTGATCTCATCACTTCTTTTAAAAACTTGTGGTGGTTTTTTTAGAATTGATTATATGCATTTTAAGTCTATCTTTAAATTAATTAGAATTGATTATATACAGTTTAGGTCTATCTTCAAATAAAATTGTTACTTCACATGTAGTGTAGGTATCTCATAAAAATACTACTAGATTGTACCTCCTGTACCTTATGACATTGCTATTGTTCATTTCATCTATCCACATTCTATAATTACCCATTTTTTGTTACTGAACAGTTATCTTATGGATCAATAAGAATAAAAAAAGTTTTTAACTTTAATTTATTCTTTTTCATGTATTTCTTTATTGTGGATCTGAATTTCTCATTTGCATCATTTTCTCTCCCCTTGAAGAACTTCCTTTAGTATTTCTTGCAAGACAGGTCAGCTGACAATCACTTAAATTTTGTTTTTCTGAGAAAGTTTTCTATTTGCTTTCTTTGTTAAAGGAAATTTCAATATATAGAATTGCTTTATCCCCCTAAAGTCATATGCTGTTGAATATATTTTCAAATACTTTTTTGCCATTTTTATATTTCCTTTGGTGGCTCCTCCATTTATATTGTTTCCCCATTTTTAACTGAATTGTTTACTTTCTTGTGAAATTTGAAGTGTTTCTTGTGTATTTTGAATAATAGCCTTTATTACAGACTAGTGGATAAAGAAAATGTGGCATATACATACAATCGAATATTATTCATCCTGAGAAAAGAAGGAAATCCTAAAATCTGTGATAACATTGATGGACTGAGAGAACTTAATGCTAAGTAAAATAAGCGAGACACAGAAAGACAAATATACTGCATAATCTCACTTATCTGTGAAATCTAAAAAATTTAAACTCATTAGATGTTAGGGATTAGAAGGTAGGAAAAATGGGGAGATGCTTTTAGTTAAAAGGTGAATAAATTCTGGATATCTAACACATATAGCATAGTAGCTACAGCTGATAAGAAAGTATTGTATACTTGAATTTTGCTAACAGGGTAGGTCTTACGTATTTCCATACAAGCACACATAGACACACACAGAGAAAGTGTAACTTTGTAAGTTGATGAAAATGTTAATTGACTGTGGCTATTATTTCACAATGTATACACACATCACATCATATTATATAACTTAAATATGTAAAATTTTTATTTATCAATCATACTTCAATGAAGCTAGAAAGAAAAATAAGAAAAAACATTTGTACAGCATAATTAATTATGAAAGGGATACATTTTCTAACAATTATGATATCTTTTTCTATGCTTATTTTAGAATATTGTATTGTTATTGGGATTATTGCCACCATTTTCTTCTCTGCACCTGTATTCCTATCTTTATCATAGTGACCAAATCTCCTCTGATAACACTTAATTTTTGTCCATCTGAAATTATATGTTAAATTACAAAAAGTAAATGTTTTCTGATTTTTAGGGAAAAATAAGTATATTTTAGATTTCCTAGGTGACCTCTAGAAAAACTGTGACAATTTTTGCCTTATAAAATGAGTGAGGCTAAAATAAATTGGACTTCTTTGGTGTACCCCATATTTCTTCATTAGTTCCACACATCTGCGTGAGTTGCATGAGGTCAATTCTAAAGGGCTCAGCCTTCTCAGTTCATTTTATGTAATCTTACATATTAAGATGAATGGTGGTGGGGTGCGGTGGCCCACACCTGTAATCCCAGCACTTTGGGAGGCTGAGATAGGCAGATCAGGAGGTCAAGAGATGGAGACCATCATGGCCAACATGGTGAAACCCCATCTCTACTAAAAATACAAAAACTAGCTGGGCGTCGTGGTGCATGCCTGTAGTCTCATCTATTCAGGAGGCTGAGGCAGGAGAATCACTTGAACCCAGGAGGTAGAGGTTGCAGTGAGCCAAGATCGAACCAATGCACTCCAGCCCGGTGACACAGGGATGCTCTGTCTCAAAAAAAAAAAAAAAAAGGTGAATTGTTTAGGAACTGTAGACATTTAACTCATAGATTAGAGACTGTAATAGGAAATTGGAGAGGTATATGCCCCCAGGTGAAACATTGGTCAAGTCTTTATGAGATAGTATTGAACCTAATGCAGAAGTTCATTCTTCTCCATTTTCATATTATTGTTTACTATATAAATTAAACAGCCATTTAGTTGCATCTCTAGTTGGTTTTTGTTTTCCTCTGACACTTACTTGAATGTTCTCCTATAAAGTACTGAGCATAACAACTTACTTTTAAATCTCATTGTTTTAAGGATTTATCTCTTTGCCTCATTGGTAGATAATTTTATCAAAGCAAAAAACTGACTCAACATCCAGTAGAAGGAGTATGAATTACACAGTTTCTTTTTCTATTTCTGATCCTCAATTTTATATACTACACCTTGTAAGTGAAATACATCATTCAAACGCTGTCTCGTTTCTATTTTTCTCTGAGAATTCAGAACAATATATTTGTACTTACTCTGCATGCTTGTAGGACAACATATTATTATTGTAGGACTTTCTCCTTAGTTCAGCTAAAAGCTGTATTCTTGTCACACAGCCATGAAATATTAGGCTCACAGACGCTTTGAAGGGTGAGAAAAATGGAATTTATTGGCGAAAGGGAAAAAAGGGGAAACAGAGACTGTCAGTAAAGTGAGTCCTGCTACCCAGCTTCCTGCCTCATAGATTGAATCCCAGCCTCCGCCCTGGAACAGAAGAGGCCAGGCTCCTCCCTGCTGCAAACTTCCCGAGGCTCCACCTCAGTGTGCACTCCTGCCAGTGTGCAAGCTGGTCGAAGGTTCTGCCGGGGACCCGTTTTTACTTGCTGTCTCATTATTTGCATAGCTTCATCAAGAATCTGTCCTTTTTTCCTGGGATTTAATTGGACATCCAAGGCCATACCTGTGTTTATAAGGTATGAAAACACCTATTAAGAAACAAGATTGTACTTTAAATGTTGAGCCAACACCTACTAAATCCTCCACCTGTTCTATGGTTCCAGCCTCACATTGGTAAGGGAGTGTTTTCAGAAGGCCATGAATCTTACATTTTATAACCTGGTGGAGGGAAGACTTCACCTATGTGTTTAACTCCTCTTTCTGAAGCTACATAAATAATCAGGGTCAAATATAGTCAGATAAACTTTTTCTTTTTTTGATTAAGAATAACACTTGGAGGCCAAGCCAGTGGGTCACGCCTGTAATCCCAGCATTTTGGGAGGCTTTGGCGGGCGGATCACGCGGTCAGGAGATCGAGACCATCCTGCCCAACATGGTGAAACCCCGTCTCTACTAAAAATACAAAAAATTAGCTGGGGATGGTGGCGGGCACCTGTAGTCCCAGCTACTCTGGAGGCTGAGGCAGGATAATGGCGTGAACCCAGAGGCGGAGCCTGTAGTGAGCCGAGATCGTACCACTGCACTCCAGCCTGAGAGTCAGAGCCAGACTCTGTCTCAAAAGAAAAAAAGAATAACACTTGGAGATTATTGACATGAAAATAAGGAATTGAGTTAGTTATGGATTAGCACTAACAGAGGACATATTTGTAATAGGGGACTGCTAAGGAAAAGTATCTAAAACTCTGACATAACACATGTATTTTTAGTGTAATATTTCATTATTAAAAGCTATCAACTAAAAGGCCAACCCAAAGATTACTTCATTTTCTTTTGACTTGGCTATGTATTAGTTGATTTGATTCTAGATGCTATGCAATTATGTGATAACTTCTAGGTTTCTCTCTAGTAGAAAAAGACAATGCCAGACCTTATGGATCTGTTTCCATGAAGGATATTAATCAGTTTTAATTCACAACTGATAGGAGTTCATCAAGCATCAGAAAAACTGCTCTTGAGTGCATTTACTGTATACATTTTTGTGAATTACTGCATTATATCACATTTCCAATTCCCTTTTTCTAATAAGCTTTATAAAGTTTAAATTTTATGCTTAATAACCAAAAATACAGTGCAATTGGGAATACATATGTTTTCTTTATTTTTCTTTTTTAAATTGTGGTAAAATACACATAATCTAAAATTTATCACTTTAATGAATTTTAAATGAACAGTTCAGAAGGCATTATATTCACCCAATTGCACAACCTTTACCACCATCCATTTCCAGAACTCTTTAATCATCCCATATAGAAGTTCTGTACCCATTAAACAATAACTTCTCACCCACACTAGTCCCTGGTAATCATTATTCTGTCTCTATGATTTGCTTATTCTAAGTACTTCAAGCAATATTTATCCTTTTGCATCTGGCTTATTTCACTAAGCATAATGTTTTCAAAGTTTACCTATGTTGTAATCATTGAAATTCTGTAGTGTATATTAGAATTTCATTCCTTAATAAGGCTGAATAAGTTTCCATTATGTGAATATGGTGTATTTTGTTTATTCATTCATTTATTGATGAATATTTGAGTTGCTTCCTGCTTTTGGTTACTGTAAATCATGGTACTGTGAACATTGGTGGTTAATATCTGTTGGAGTCTCTATTTGCAATTACTTTGGGCATGTATATAGGCATAGAATTGCTGGATCACATAGTAGTTCTATGTTTAACCTTTGAGGAGCCACCTAACTGTTGTCCACAGAAGCTACACCATTTTACATTCCCACCAGCAATGCACAAGGGTTCCCATTGACTCTGAATCCTCACTAACACTTGTTATTTTCTGGGGTTTCTTTTTTGTAATCATCCTAATGGGTGTGAAATGATATCTCATCATTATTTTCATTTGTGTTTTTCTAATGCTAGTGATATTGAGCCTCTTTTCATGTGCTTGTTGGCCATTCGTATATCTTCTTTAGATAATTATCTATTCAAGTCCTTTGCCTATTTAACAAATTGAACCATTTGTTATTGTTGAGTTGCTGGAGTTCTTTATTCTATTATACATATTATATCCACATATACTGATGTCATATCACATATGTGATTTGCAGACATCTTCTCCCATTCTTTGAGTTGTTGTTCCACTGTCTTGAGGGTGACTTTTTTTTTTGAGATGGAGTCTCGCTCTGTCGCCCAGGCTTGAGTGCAGTGGCACAATCTCAGCTCACTGCAACCTCTGCCTCCCAGGTTCAAGTGATTCTTTTGCCTCAGCCTCCCAAGTAGCTGGGATTACAGGTGCACACCACCATGCCCACCTAATATTTGTATTTTTAGTGGAAATGGGGTTTCACCATATTGGCCAGGCTGGTCTCAAATTCCTGACCTTGTGATCCACCCGCCTCAGCTTCCCAAAGTGCTGGGATTACAGGCGTGAGCCACCACACCTGGTCAACGGTGACTTTTAATGCACAGAAATTTTACTTTTGATGAAACTAATTTTTTTGTTATTTTTTTCATTCCCTGTACCTTTGATGTCATATCTAAGGAATCATTGCTAAATCTAACATAAAGAATATTTTCTTTGTTTTTTTTTTCTAAGAGTTTAAGGGTTGTAGTTGTTACTTTTAACTCTTTGATCTATTTTAGCTTATTTTTGTATATTATGTAAGTTAAGGGCCCAAACTTTATATTTTGCCTGTGGATATCCAGTTTACCCAGTACTATTTGTTGTTATTAATCAATTTTGTTTCTTTTTTTTTTTTTTTTTAGACGGAGTTTCGCTCTGTCGCCCAGGCTGAAGTGCAGTGGCACAATCTGGGATCACTGCAAGCTACACCTCCTGGGTTCACGCCATTCTCCTATCTCAGTATCCTGAGTAGCTGGGACTACAGGCCACCACGCCCGGCTGATTTTGGTTTTGTATTATTAGTAGAGACCGGATTTCACCGTGTTAGTCAGGATGGTCTCGATTTCCTGACCTCGTGATCCGCCCGCCTCGGCCTCCCAAAGTGCTGGGATTACAGGTGTGAGCCAGCACTCCCGGCCCAGTTTTGCTTCTAACATAGTTGTCTTATTCTAACATTTCTTGTTTTTGGGGGAAAAAATCTGTAATTTTTTTTTTACTTGTTCTTGGAACCAGCTTCCCCACCTACTGATTTCCTCAGGAATAAGTGAAATAAATTTTGACAGAGGTTTATTTTGTATTTGTATGTGAGTTTTATTATTAAGCTCATTATTAAGTTTTATTATTAAGCAGAGAAAATTATACTCTGGCCATGTAAATATCCACAGTGTATTACTTTCAGAATGTCCTGATTTTTTCTCTTGCTATAAAGAAGACTCAGGGAATTTACAATAACACACCTGAGTGTTAGAGTCAGGAAGCCATTGTCAGTTGGTGGGTCAGAACTGTACACAGATTTTGAAACAAATAACAGCTACAATGACAATTTCTTGTAGACAGAGAATGTAAACCCATGCTTTATTTACTTCTCTCCCAATGAACATAACTAGGCCTATTTTTTATTCTGAGACTTCCCTAAAGGGGCCTTTCATTTGTTCTATGACAGATAACTTGATGGATCAAGTGGGTTAAAACTGAAATAATAGTGTGAAACACCCAGTTATGTCCTTGTAAGCATTATATGTTGACATTTGCAGTAGGCTTTCATGAAATGATTTAAGGCTTTGAGACCCTGGAACAAACTTAGAACCACTGTATTAATAGTGGCTACAAACTAGTATTAGCTGGGAGGGTTTTGAAAGATTATGTTGATTTCTTAGATATATTTGTGTCAGAGAGGCAACTGCAAGTTAATCTCTGCTCTCAGTGAAAGGCTTAATGTGGACACCTATAAAATCCCCAGTGGTCATAACTCACAGGAATCTCTCCAGAGGGACAGCATCATACCCAGTGGGGCAAAATTAATTTCCTCAGGACATATCAGCAATTAAAAAAAATACAGAACTAGGCATGAGTCAACTTCTCCCTTAAAATTGTATTTCTCATCTAAATGAAAGCACATTTTTAAGAGAGAAAAATGTGTAAGATATAGAAATATTAAAGTAAGGGCTGCAGTACATATAATACAAAGCAAATGAAGAGAGGAGGCTAAATATCAAAGTTGTAGGTGGTGAGTTATACTCAGCTACTTCATTTGACAGTTTACAAAGTCAGATCTAAGTCAAAAGAAGTAACTTCTATCTCTTTGGAAAAGTGAATTGATAATATGCCATTGTCAATAAGTGAAGATGGTATCAGTGTTCTCTAGATGCTTAAAATATTGTAAGACATTTGTTCATATAAAAATTGTTAATTATCTTGCTTGCTATGGGCTTTTTAAAAAGAATTAAGGTCTCCTCCTTTTAGTAAACATGTAACTCTATACATTGAAAAAATCCAATTGTAAATTGACTTGCTATCCTTTCCTTCAATACAAACATTAGCCTCAAATGCAAAAGTGGCATGGATTCAGAGTAAATTAAGTGAAAATATGAAGGGGTGGCCAGCCCCTCCACACCTGTGGGTACTTCTAGTAAGGTGGGATGAGAGACTGAGAAAAGAAATAAGACACAGAGTCAAAGTATAGAGAAAGAAAAGTGGGCCCAGGGGACCGGCGCTCAGCATACGAAGGACCTGCACTGGCACCGGCCTCTGAGTTCCCTCAGTTTTTATTGATTATTATTTTCATTATCTCAGCAAGAGGAATGTGGTAGGAGGACAGGGTGATAATAGGGAGAAGGTCAGCAAAAAAACATGTGAGCAGAAGAATCTGTGTCATAATTAAGTTCAAGGGGAGGTACTATGCCTGGATGTGCACGTAGGCAGATTTATGTTTCTCTCTGCCCAAACATCTCAGTGGAGTAAAGAACAATAAAGCAGCATTGTTGCCAACATGTCTTGCCTCCCACCATAGAGTGTTTTTTCTCCTATCTCAGAATTGAACAAATGTAAAATCGGGTTTTATACCGAGACACTCCGTTCCCGGGAGCAGGCAGGAGACAGTGGCCTTCCTCTATCTCAACTGCAAGAGGCTTTCCTCTTTTACTAATCCACCTCAGCACAGACCATTTATGGGTGTTAGGCTGGGGGATGGTCAGATCTTTCTCGTCCCGTGAGGCATATTTCAGACTATCACATGGGGAGAAACTTTGGACAATACCTGGCTTTCCAGGGCAGAGGTCTCTGCCATTTTCCACAGTGCATTGTGCCCCTGGTTTATTGAGACTAGAGAATGGCAATGACTTTTACCAAGCATATTGCTTGTAAACATTTTGTTAACAAGGCACAGCCCTAGATCCCTTAAGCCTTGATTCCATACAACACATGTTTTTGTGAGCTCAAGGTTGGGGCAAAGAGGTTGGGGCAAAGTGATTGGGGCAAAGTTACAGATTAACAGAATCTCAGGGCAAAGCAATTGTTCAAGGTTCAGGTCAAAATGAAATTTATTATGTCTTCCCTTTCTACCTAGACACAGTAACAGTCTGATCCCTCTTCCTTTTCCCTACAAAATAGAAATGATTGTTAGCAACAGAAGAAAACTAAAACGAATAACTTATTTTTTAAAAGTAACATATTGGCTAGGCATAGTGGCTCTTGTCTGTAATCCCAGCATTTTGGCAGGTGGAGGCAGGCAGATCACTTGAGGTCAGGAGTTCGAGATCAGCCTGGTCAACATGGTGAAACCTCACCTCTATTAAAAATACAAAAAATGGGCTGGGCACAGTGGCTCACGCCTATTATTCCAGCACTTTGGGAGGCTGAGGCAGGTGGATCAGGAGGTCAGGAGTTCAAGACCAGCTTGACCAACATGGTGAAACCCTGTCTCTACTAAAAATACAAAAATTGGCCAGGCATGGTGGCACATGCCTGTAATCCCAGCTACTCAAGAGGCTGAGGCAGAAGAATCGCTTGAACCTGGGAGGCAGATAGCTGGGCATGGCAGTGCGTGCCTGTAATCCCAACTACTCAGGAGGCTGAGGCAGGAGAATCACTTGAACCTGGGAAGCGGAGGTTGCAGTGAGCGGAGGTTGTGCCATTGTATTCCAGCTTGGGCGACAGAGCAAGACTCTGTCTCCAAAAAAAGAAAAAACACAAAAACAAAAAACAAGCTGGACATGGCTGGTGTCTGCCTGTGATCCCAGATACTTGGGAGGCTGAGGCAGGAGAATAGCTTGAATCTAGGAGACTGGGGTTACAGTGAGTCAAGATGGCACCACTGCACTTCAGACTGGGGGACAGAGTTAGGCTCTGTCAAAAAAAAAAAAGTGCAGCAGCGTATTATGCTTATGCTTAGGATTTAGGCTGAACTACCATTCAAAATGTATTGTATCCTTTCACTCTTCCTTTCCTAAGATTCCACATAGATATTGAAGAGAAGTCCAAACTCAACACCATTTGTTTACATTACTAAGGTCTTTAAAATTTTATATAGATTTAAGTATTTACCTTAACCAAAACTAAACGCCTAGAGACTTGTCTCCACAGAAAATGAGCTTAATTCATATTTTTCTCAAACACTTGCCAAAACCTTAAACTTAAACCCATTTTCAATGCAATTAGTGGCTAATTTTTTTTGTGTATATCTTTCTGCCTTTTTGCCATTTCCTTAGCCAGATTTGCCTATTTATCTTTTTATTTTTTGAGATGGAATTTCGCTTGGTTGCCCGGGCTGGAGTGCAATGGCACCTTCTCATCTCACTGCAACCTCAGCCTCCCAGGTTCAAGCGAGTCTCCTGCCTCAGCCTCCTGAGTAGCTGGGACTACAAGTGTGCACCACCACGCCCAGCTAGTTTTTGTATTTTTAGTAGAGACAGAGTTTCACCATGTTGGCCAGGATGGTCTCGATATCTAGACCTCGTTATCTGCCTGCCTCGGCCTCCCAAACTGCTGAGATTACAGGCCTGAGCCACTGTGCCCATCTGTGCCTATATTTTTAAAAGATCAAAGGTTTGTCTGAAATAAAGAGAAACTACAGGATTTTGTTCTGAGATTCAGTCAAGACCTGGTAAGACAGATAATTTAGAGCAAGCTTTGATCTTATCAATGTTTATATCAGCTGAAAGAAAGATTCGCACACTCAGAGTCTTTCCTAGTGATTAAAGAATTTAATTTTCATTCACAATTCACAGTAAGGAATTGTTGTAAGAAAATACTGTATTTCAATATAGCATTTTCTCCTTTTTTTGTTGTTTTAATGGCATACTATGCTATGTGTGAGGTCAACACGAAGAGAGACAAAAAAGAACAAGTTTATAAATGTGGTTATATTGTCCCCTAACCTAGGAAAAAAATGACAATGTTGACATTAAAATTTGCATTGTTTGCCTCTGGCTTTCATGGGAATTGTTTTGTTTGTTTGTTTGTTTTTGTTTGCTTTTTGTTTTTGTTTTTTACAATTGGTATGCCATTTTTTAATGTTACCTATAACTAGAATTAGAATTGTATGGGAGCTTTTGTTTCTTTTGTTTTGGAGGATGTGATTCTTAAAATGAAATTAATTTTTTTAGAACATAAAATATATCAAGGCAAGGACATTTCTAAGAGTAATACTGGAAAAGAACAGTTAATCGGTGAATTCACCAGTAAGTTTAAGTCAATTTAAAAATAACTTAGCACATTATATGTTCATAACACTCTGTGGACCAGTAGGGAATACAAAAATGAAAAAAGCCTGACACTGTTTTATCAGTGAAAAGAGACAGGTCATTAACTTACTAAAATGTACGGCAGAGTAATGTATATGCTAAATTATGACATATACCATAAAGGCTGCGGGAACCAAAGGATATGTCAATAAGTTTCAATAAAGGTTCAGGGACATATTCGGAGAGGACAGAACAGTGGAATTTTTTAATTTAAATTTTATGGGGGATGGTAGGAAATTCCAGGTGGCCAGATGGTTTGACTAAATGCATGGTAGTAAGAATGTGTTGACTCTATTCATGAGACAATGAATTCCATATGTCTGGGACATTAGGTACTGGTGTGAACATGGAAGAAAAGTGTGGGGGCAAAGGAGAAAAATGATAAATGGGAATTTCTGTCTGCATCATGCCAAGCATTATAATTTTACTTTCTAGACCAAGAAGATATTTTTATGTTTTTTTTTGAGCAGACAAGTGACAAAGTGAGATATTTATGCTTCAGAAAGGTTAGTTGTATCAAAATGTAGAAAATATTTCAAGAAATAAGAAATAAAGACTGTATGGCAAACTTTGAGATATTTTAAAAATAGGCTAAATTAAGAGCCTAAACTAGAAAAATATTTTTCTAAGAGAAATAATGTGTTGGTACTATTAAAAATGATAGAGGAAAATTGATGGGAATCAGTGACTAATTAAACATGAGATGTAAGGAAATGAAATAATTTGATAGAATTCTGAGGTTTTAAGCCTGGGTAACTGTGAGAATGGTGATCAATTTTGCAGAGGTAGGAAATGTTGAAGATACAACTGATTTTTGAAGACTAGTAATTTTACAGTCATACATCATGTAAATACATTTCAATAAATGGTGGACCATATATTGGTCCTGTAGGATTGTAATGGAGCTGAAAAATTCCTGTTTCCTAGTGATGTCATTGTCAATGTAATATCATTGCACAATTCATTACTCACATGTCTGTGCTGATGCTGGTGAAAACAGACCTATTGTGCTGCCAGGCCTCTAGCACATATAATTAATTACAGAACATAATACCTGATAATGATAATAAGTGACAATATTACTGGTTTATACATTTACTACTCTATTCTTTTTATCCTTTTTTTTTTTTTTTTTTTGAGATGGAGTCTCCATTTGTTGCCCAGGCTGGAGTTGTAATGGTGTGATATCGGCTCACTGCAACCTCCACCTCCCGGTTTCAAGTGATTTTTCTGCCTCAGCCTCCCCAGTAACTGGGACTACAGGTGCCCACCACCGCACCTGCCTAATTTTTGTATTTTTAGTAGAAACAGGGTTTCACCATGTTGGCCAGGCTGCTCTTGAACTGCTGCCCTCAAGTGATCCTCCCGCCTCAGCCTCACAAATTGCTTGCATTACAGGTATGAGCCACCACACCTAGCCCTTTTTATCATGTTTTGAGAGGGTACTACTTATTAAAAAAGAAAAAGAAAACTGAACAGTAGAGCAATTTCAGGCAGGTCCTTCAGGAGGTATCCAGAAGGAGGGATTGTTATCATAGGAGATGACAGCTTCATGTGTGTTATTGCCCCAAGGAACTTCCATTGAGACAGAATATGAAGGTGGAAGACAATGATGTTGATGATCCTGACCCTGCATAGGCCTAAACTAATGTGCGTGTTTGTGTTTGTTTTTATAAAAGAGTTAAAAAGTAACACAAAAATTAAAAGTTGGAAAAAGCTTATAGACTTAGATATAAAGAAAATAATATTTTTTAAAGTTGTACAATATGTTTAACTTTTAAGCTAAGAGTTGTGACAAAGGAGCCAAAAGGTTAAAAAAAGTATATTAAATAAAAAAATTACAGTAAGCTAAAGCTAATTTATTATTGATAAAAGAAAACAATTTAAAAATAAATTTGGCATAGCTTAAGTGTGCATCCAGTATTGCTAAAGTCTACAACAGTGCCTGTAATGTCCTAGGCCTTCATATTCACTCACCACTCACTCACTTACCCAGAGCAACTTCCAGCTGTGCAAGCTCCTTTCACGGTAAGTGCCCTCTACAAGTGTACCCTTTTTTTTTTACTGCACCTTTTCTATGATAAGATGCAAAATACCTACCACTGTGTTACAGTTGCCTGCAGTATTTAGTACAGTAATATGCTGTACAGATTTGTAGCCTAGGAGCAACAGGCTACATATACTCTACCATATACTCTAGCAGAGTAGTAGGCTATCCCATCTATGTTTGTGTAAGTACACGCTGAGATATTTGCACAATAACAAAACTGCCTAAAGACATATTTCTCCAAATTTATTCCATCATCAAGTGATTCATGCCTGTATGCACACATATGTAGGGGCATGCAGAGAGGGCAATTCCTGTGTCCCAGGCACTGCTTTATGCTTGATAAATCTATTATTCACCCTCACTACAATCTTACCCAGAAACAGGCACCATTATTTTCCCCATTTCACAAATAAATAAACTGAACACAGGTAATTTATGTAACTTGCCTAAGATCACATAACTAGAAAAGAGAGAAAAGAAATTTAAGCTGATTATAAAGCTCTTTCTATTAACGATTATGATATACTTTGTAATGTTATTTTTAGCTTTGATCATTTTATGAAGGAAAATAAAATAGATTAACAAAATTCAAAAATCTTTAACATAAAATTATAAAAGAACTTGATTAACGTTATAAAGTGAGGGATAGTCCAGGTGAGGAGGCTCATGCCTGTAATCCCAGCACTTTGGGAGGCTGAGGCAGGTGGATCATGAGGTCAGGAGATTGAGACCATCCTGGCTAACATGGTGAAACTCCATCTCTACTAAACATACAAAAAATCAGCCAGGTGTGGTGGTGGGCACCTGTAGTCCCAGCTACTTGGGAGGCTGAGGCAGGAGAATTGCTTGAACCTGAGAGGCCGAAGTTGCAGTGAGCCAAGATCCCACCACTGCACTCCAGCCTGGGTGACAGAGCAAGACTCCATCTCAAAAAAAAAGAAAAAAAATTAAAAAAAATATTAAAATGAGGGATAAATGGGGCCAAGCATGGTGGCTGATGCCTGTAATCTCAGCACTTTGGGAGGCTGATGTGGGCGGATTGCCTGAGCTCAGGAATTTGAGACCAGCCTGGGCAACATGGCAAAACCCCGTCTCCATTAAAAATACAAAAATTAGCAGGGCGTGGTGGTGGGTGCCTGTAACCCCAGCTACCTGGGAGGCTGAGCTTGAGAATCACTTGAACCCAGGAGGGAGAGGTCGTAGTGAGTCGAGATCACGCCACTGCACTGACAAAGGAACACTCTGTTTCAAAAAAAAAAGAAAGAAAGAAAGTGAGAGATAAATGGAGAGAAAGAAAAACAATCATAGAGATTCCCTTTAACTTCTACCACTAAAAGCAGACACACACACACTCACTATAAGAGACAAGGTCAAAAGGGAATTGTCTTTACATATGAAGCCTTCCATTTAGAGCTTAACTATCCCTGGAGGCCACATCTAAGGACAACCCTTTTAAAAAGCCATGGTGTGTAAATGAATATGTATTTTGTGTATATTCAGTATATTCAAGGTAAATAGTTGTTTTTATTAAAATAACAAGGGAAAAATAGTGGACCTTCATCTCTCATGAAAAACATGACAGGATGAACCGTTTAGGTCAAATTTTAAAAGACCAGCTGGGTGCGGTGGCTCACACCTGTAATTCCAACACTTTGGGAGGCCAAGGCGGGCAGACCACCTGAGGTTGGGAGTTTGAGACCAGCCTGACCAACATAGAGAAACCCTGTCTCTACCAAAAATACAAAATTAGCCAGGCGTGGTGGTGCATGCCTGTAATCCCAGCTACTCTGGAGGCTGAGGTAGGAGAGTGGCTTGAACCCGGGAGGTGGAGGAGGTTGCTGTGAGCTGAGATTGCACCACTGCACTCTAGCCTGGGCAACAGAGCAAGACTCCATCTCAAAAAAATAAATAAATAAATAAAAAATAAAAAAATAAGTATTAGGAAGACCAATTTAATAATAAGGTAAGTTAGTTACAAAGAAAATTTGTAGGTCGGGCGTGGTTGCTCAAGCCTGTATCCCAGGACTTTTGGAGGCTGAGGTGGGCAGATCACGAGGGCAGGAGATCCATACCATCCTGGCTAACATGGTGAAACCCCGTCTCTACTAAAAATACAAAAAATTAGCCAGGTGTGGTGGTGGGTGCCTGTAGTCCCAGCTAATCGGGAGGCTGAGGCAGGAGAATGGCATGAACCCTGGAGGCGGAGCTTGCAGTGAGCCGAGACTGCACCACTGACTCCAGCCTGGGCGACAGAGCGAGAGACTCCATCTCAAAAAAAAAAAAAAAGAAAATTTGTGAATTTGTATGCAGTTCACTTGCCTGACCCATAAATAAATATGAATGAGTAAAATGGAAGCTCAGCTTAATAATGAGTTATTGCACAATAGGAAGAAATAAGTTAGGGATGGATACAAATTGAAAGAAAGATAAATGCATGCTAACTTCTTATCTTGATCTATAAGTCTAAAAACATCTTAAAAGACCAGATGATTAAAATAATAGTAACTTTAATTGTTAAAAATGATCATTTATTTTTCCTCAGGTGGTGGCTCAGTGTTCACTCTGAAAAATGAAAAATTGCCCATTTTTTGTGCAAAAGTTCTACTGATATGTGAAGCTACCAGATTTATTTATTGAATTCTCTTCCTGAGTGAGAATGACATAGAACCCCGATAGATAAATTAATATGTTAAAATTAAAAGATTATCTAATAAACAACTTTTCTGTTTTAATAAAATGGTATTTTGATATATTTGAAAGATTTTTATTGTAGTGAAAATATACATAAAATAAAAAATAATGATGTTGGATAATATCATAAATGATTTCTAAGGTAGAAGGTTCTATTGTTTAGAAAAACATCTTTGAGAGTCTTTTTTCATGAGGCACTAAATTCCTTGGTATAATAGGGTACCCTAGACAAAGTAGCTTGTTTTTTTTTTGTTTTGTTTTTGAGGGTCTTGCTCTGTCACCCAGGCTGGAGTGCAGTGACACAAATCTTGGCTCGTTGTGACCTTTGCCTCCCAGGTTCAAGTGATTATCTTGCCTCAGCCTCTTGAGCAGCTGGGATTACAGACACATGCCATCATGCCCAGCTAATTTTTGTATTTGTAGTAGAGACAGGGTTTCACCCTGTTGGTCAGGAGGTTTTGAACTCCTGACCTTGTGATCTGCCCACTTTGGCCTTCCAAAGTGCTGAGATTACAGGCATGAATCACTGCACCTGGCCACTTTTAGAATATTTAATGCTTCATAAATATGATGTAAAAAAGGGTGAGCTGTAACGTTAAGTAGTAACTAAGAGGAGTGCCAAGTTACCACCAGGCAGTTAGCAAGAGGGGGCGAGGCAGCCCCAGGTGTAGAATTAATAATGTGAGAGAGACTAGAAGTTCCAAGAAAATGGTAGGGTGGGGTGGAGAAATTCCTTCTGATGGGAATAAATAAGGAAATTCAGGATAGTGGTGGCAATATATGCATGTATATATGTGTGTGTGTATATGTGTATACGTGTATATATGTGTGTATTTATATGCATATATATGTATATGTGTGTATATGTGCATATACATTCATATATGTGTATATATATGCATGTTTATGCATTTTGCTGCTCTTCGTGGGATGTAATTCTCCCTTATCTCGTCCACATAGTGGTCTTGAATTAATTGTGCTTGGTGCTAAGTTGGGGGTGAAAGTGTGATGAGTCTCCTCACTAGATGGAACTGAGTAGAGAAAACATGATCTGCTCTGGAGCACAGAGAAGAGGGCAGGCACCAACAGTAAGTGAGGAGAGGCCAAGCCCAACTAACCAAGAAACTCCCAGAAAATATGGAAGACTCTGAATGCTATGAAGCACAGGGGATAAAGGAATCAAGATTTTTTTTTTTTTTTGGGATGAAGTCTCACTCTCTTGCCCAAGATGAGTGCAGTGATGTGATCTTGGCTCACTGCAACCTCCACCTCCTGGGTTCAAGCTATTCTCCTTCCTTAGCCTCCTGAGTAGCTTGGATTACAGGCACCTGCCACCATGCCTGGCTAATTTTTTTGTGTCTGCGATAATATTTTGTCTTCAGCAAAATTCTCTTATTGACCTTAACACATAGAACCTTATTTGTCTGCATGTCTGGTTTGTGAGCAGAGATTATTTTGAGTCCTCAAAACCTAGAGCAGTGCAGTTGTAAAAGGCTTTGACTGAAGTCTTAACAAATATTTGCTAAACTGAATTTTGTAGAAATGTTCCAGACTTTAGCATGGAATTTACAATTCACACATTCTTGTTATATTCAAATAATAAACTTTACTGAGTCAGCAACATTTAATATCAACAAGAAAACTGTGAAATAATGTATGGATTAATTCTGAATTGCAAATTTAACTTTAATGTTAAAAGTTTCCATAAGTTATCCCCAAGCCTGGAAATAAATCCTAAATTGGTCTTAGTTATATATGTGTAAAATGCATATTCATATGAAGAATGAAACGCATCATCCTATATCTTTCCTTTTTTTTTTCTGATTTTGTGACTTGGATTTGTTTTTACCAAAATTCAGGGATTCCCCCCTAATCCCAATGAGAATAATGTCTTAAATAAATGGAATTAAGAAGCTTCAAAATTCTTTTTTTTTTTTTTTTTGAGATGGAGTCTAACTCTGTCACCAAGCGATTTTCTTGCCTCAGCCTCCCGAGTAGCTGGGACTACAGGTGCGTGCCACCATGCTCGGCTAATTTTTTTGTATTTTTAGTAGAGACAGGGTTTCACTGTGTTGGCCAGGATGGACTCGATCTCCTGACCTTGTAATCCACGTGCCTCAGCCTCCCAAAGTTCTGGGATTACAGGTGTGAGCCACCACACCTGGCCCAAAACTCTTTAAAGTACTCAACCTATCATAAGACTAGTAGGTGTTTCTCAACTCTCTTTCTCAAAACATGAGATCATGAGGTCTTAATCCTGAAGATTATGGATTATTTTATGTAGAGAAATGGAAGAAAGCTGGACAGTGCTCTGGCTCAATCAGCTCCACTTCCACACCTCTCAGCAATTCTCAGTTCTCACCACCAGAGAGAAGGCAGTCCCTACCTGACCATCGTCTGGCCTGGCTACCTTATCTGTCTAAACAGTGCATTGCAGGAGCCCCTTTCCTTTCTGTGCTGTTTTATTTTTCCCCCCCAGCACTAGTTTTCTAATTAGAATAACTGAGGAGAAATACAAGATTTTCATGGAATGAAAGCAAAAGTCTTCCAAGTATGAGAAAAATAGAACAAAGGCTGTTTATATCCATATTGATTAGAGTGGGAAGGTATTATTGTAATAAATGTGATGGTTATTAAAGCAAGTCTTGATTTTAAGGAAATGTTTTATCTTGGAACTGTGACAGGAGATTATGTGATGTTCATGAGATGATCATATTGTCTCTGTCCAGGTCTCTGTAACATGTAGGACACAACCAAGGTACAGGTTCAGTCCCATTTCATTTACAGAAACAGCTTGTTCCTCAGTAGTATTCTATATATAAAAAGTAAACACACACACTATAGTTCATAGAGAATACATTCACATGGATTACTAGGAAAACTAAAGTATCCTTTCAAAATAATTAAAAAAGAGCCAGGTGCAGTAGCTCACGTCTGTAATCCCAATACTTTAGGAGGCTGAGGAGGATGGATCACTTGAGGTCAGGAGTTCAAGACCAGCCTAGCCAACATGGTAAAACTTCATGTTTACTAAAAATACAAAAATTAGCCAGGCGTGGTGGCATGCTACTCTAATCCCACCTGCTCAGGAGGCTGAAGCAGGAGAATCACCTGAACCTTGGAGGCAGAGGTTGCAGTGAGCCAACATCACGCCACTGCACTCCAACCTGGGTGACATAGCAAGATGTTGTCTCAAAAAAAAAAATAAAGAAATAAATATAAAAATAATAAAAAAGGAAGTCTTCTCAAAAAACTACCTTTCTATTAGATATTTTTTATCTCAAAACATAAAAGGTAAGGTTTGAAATAACTAATAGTTAATAAGAAAAACATATAAATAATATGTAACTAGAATTATTAATTTCTTGAAACTTAAGGTTTGTTTTTATGTCATGTTAGCAGGTTATGTAAATCTAATGACATTCAAAAAACATAAAGTGAGAAAAAAAGAGGCTGGTATTGAACATGTATATGTTTACTATATTCTAACAATGGTCAAGTTGTTTAATTTCTGCATGAATGTCTAGGCTTCATTATAAGTCTTCAGCTAAAATTCTGCCCATATTGGTGAAGGAACTGTGTGTGGCACATAAGGAGAGCTTAATGTTAGTATTTACCATAGCCTTACTAATATAATCCTATAATATTGTTCTCCATGTTCCCAAAATTAAAAAGTAGTCTAATTCTACATATGAACTCAAAATAAATGTATACTGTTATGTGTTATGTGGCATAACTCAAAATAATTAGAACTAAACACAGCTCTTATTTTCTCACACATACTGATTATGGAATTACTATTATTTGTGTTTCCTTGATCAGAGGTAGATGAAACTTGACAATATAGTCACTGACTGAAGGGCATTGTTTTGCCAAAGTTCGTTAAGTTAAAAAATATTTTGGATCTATAAATGTCTTTCATTAAAATAATCACCTACATAAAATAAGTATTCAGAATTGCATAGGACATATGAATGCCATCTTTCTTTTGCTGTTCATTTACCCAACATTTTTCTTCTTTTTATATGTGCCAGGTTGAAAATTGTCATCCCATACTCTTTTCAGCTAAGAATATTTCTGTGTTGGGAATATCTTGAATTTCCCTCAAGGGTTGATGATATTGCCCACAAAGACTTTAGGCAATTTTGATGTCCGGAATGAAAACAGGCAGCTAAGATATTTATTTTTAAAAGAAAAGAATAGAAAACTTTGTAATCTAATCATGCATCGTAGGAATTTTTTTTTTTTTTTTTTTTTTTTTGAGAGACGGAGTCTTGTTCTGTAGAGCAGGCTGGAGTGGAGTGGCGTGATCTCGGCTTGCTGTAACTTCCGCCTCCAGGGATGAGGCGATTCTCTTGTCTCAGCCTCCGGGAGTAGCTAGGATTACATACATGCGTCAACATGCCCAGCTAACTTTTGTAGTTTTAGTAGAGATGGGGTTTAGCCGTGTTGGCTGGGCTTCCTCAAGCGATTCTCTTGCCTCAGCCTCCCAAGTAGCTGGGACCACAGGCGCCCGCCACCATGCCCGGCTAATTTTTTGTATTTTTAGTAGGGGCCGGTTTTCACCGTGTTAGCAAGGATGGTATTGATCTCTTAACATCGTGATGAGCCCACCTCGGCCTCCCAAAGTGCTGGGATTACAGATGTGAGCCACGCCCCACTATGGAAGTAATTATTAATAATGTTGTTTCTCCTTCCAGTTCTTCAGTTTGTTAAGCGCAACTGTTGAAAACATTTATTTGTCCCAGGAGATTATAGGAAAAAATTAAGTGAATCTACTTAAACATAAAATTCCCAGTTTTAGAATAGATTCTTTTTTTTTTTTTGAGATGGAGTTTTGCTGTTGTTGCACAGGCTGGAGTGCAATGGCACAATCTCAGCTCATTGCAACCTCCGCGTCCCGGGTTCAAGTGATTCTCCTGCCTCAGCCTCCCAAGTAGCTGGGATTACAGGCGCCTGCCACCATGCCCAGCTAATTTCTGTAATTTTTTTAGTAGACCATGTTGGCCTGGCTGGTCTCGAACTAACCTCAGGTGATCCGCCTTCCTTGGCCTCCCAAAGTACTGGGATTACAGGCGTGAGCCACCGTGCCCGGCCAGATTCAGTTCTTTATTAGGGATGTCATTTAGCTAATTTAATGTATTTCTATGCCATAGTTCATATTTTCTGTGCTGTAAGTATTTTCTATATGTCTGATTTATGTTGAAGAATAGTATCTCTTTAGACACAGGGGCATACTGAGAGCATCTACACCATGGCAAATGGCTCTGCATTTTGCACTCTATATACCATTGCCAAAAAAAGGTTTGATTATGCTACTAAAAATCCGACATGAATCAGTGAACACAAAAAGCCAATAATTTTAGAATCTCAAAATAGTGGAATGTTTAGAATTGTGATATTTTCAGCTTATTTTCTCCATCAATTTTCATTAGAAAGCGAGTAAGGAAAGTGGTAGAATTTAGGAGTTAAAAAATCAAATTAACGGGCAGGGCGCGGTGGCTCACGCCTATAATCCCAGTACTTTGGGAGGCTGAGGCGGGCAGATCATGAGATCAGGAGATCAAGATCATCCTGGCTAACAGGGTGAAACCTTGTCTCCACTAAAAATACAAAAAATTAGCTGAGCATGGTGGCAGGTGCCTGTAATCCCAGCTACTCAGGAGATTGAGGCAGGAGAATGGCGTGAACCCGGGAGGTGGAGCTTGCAGTGAGCCAAGATCACGCCACTGCACTCCAGCCTGGGCGATAGAGCGAGCCTCTGTCTCAAACAACAGCAACAACAGCAACAAATTAACCCTTGCTTATTATAATAAAGAACTAAAGTAATCCAATACCTGTAACCTAGAGAATAAGGTTCACATCACTTAAAATGGCATTATATATAAAAGAAAAGATTGGTTCTACTACATACATCAGGCTTATTAAGTCACACTAGACAACTGAGGTTGCCTATGACGTCATTGTCCTGGACTTGCAAGGGCCTCCAACTCCAGTTAAGGTGATAAGAAAAAATGAAAACGAGCAACCTAGCAATTTTCACAGGCCTCAGAAAGCTGGGGCCACATCGAACCCAGTCACAGGTCATACCAATTTGATTTACAACAATGAAAGAACCATCTGCTTATACTTGAGTTACAGCACATCCCTTTGTAGATATCCATACAATAGAAAGCCCCAGCAGTTGATTCACAGTAGAACAAAGTGTTTGTGTCAAGCAAAGGAAATTCTGCACGTAGATGAAATTTTATTGGCACATTTAATTAAAAGATGGTGTAGGTAGGCATAAATAAGGAAACCATAAGCAGACATAGTCAACATACTAGGTAAGTAAAACCAAATCCAGAAGGTTGTATTTACTAATATTCATTTCAGATTTCCTCGGATTATTGTGGTTTGCCTTACATCTTTTGACTATGACACAGAGATTTTATTCACTTTTTAAAATATCTCCTAGAATGTAGCTTGAGTCAGTCAAACAGGAAAACATATTGCAGCATTCTCTCTTTTACCTCCCCCAAACCACTGTAATATGGCTTTTGGAAATATTTCCTCATTGTCCTTTAGTTTTTGGAATGATGTCTGAGATACTGCTGTATGTAAATACAATGATATTCCGTATTTCCTGTAAGTTTGCCTATTCAGAAAGCTGCATTTATGTACATGCTGAAACACAATCGCTGGTGATGTATCAACCAGAAATTTTATGTGTGAGGCTAAAAGGAAGTGTTGAGTCTTTCTCTACTTAAATAATTAGAAATTAAAAGTACCTCTTCTGCATTCCACAGTTTATGTAATATTATAAGAAGGAATTTTGGCAAAGTAACTGAGGTTATCAGTTCAGTTCAATTTATAAATTCAGTGACATCAACTTGTCCCAGCAAAATAATCAGTAGATACTCCATAATCACCATTGTTTCTGTTTTCAAGCAGAGAGAAAAAAAATAAATTAATTGTATTATATGTTACCACCTTGGGTAAATTTTTTTCTAAATTGGTGGGTATAGCACAGCAAATCAACGGTTGATAACATAAAATAGTGGACTAAAATTCAGCTCTAAAAAGTTAACAAATCTTAGAGTCTGCTTGCTTAGTTATAAAATGGGGATAATATTCTCACCTTTGAGTATCTCACACAGTTGCTGTAGGATTTATTTGAGAAAAAATATGCATAAAGATGCTTTGGAAATTATAAAACTGCATCCTAATACACAGTAAAATTATAAAATTTGATTTGAATGATACCAACTAGTTGGGGGTAAAATATGTTACATAAGAACTCCCTGAAAAAAGCAATCATGTGTCATGTCATGTTTGTCATCAAGGATGACAAGATTTCAATTTGCCTAGGTCAGAAATGCTGTGGTTCTATTCCCTCAACAACTAATTACTTCTGCTTCGAGGACATGTTTTCCAAAAGCTAGAAAACACCAGTCAAAAGGTTACTTTCCAAACATAAAAAACAGGTTTACTTCAGCACATTATGTCTGTAGGAAGAGTCAAATGAAACAAAACTATTGAATAATTTCCCAGAATAGAGTCATAGTATCCAAAATTTGGAACAGAATTGGATGATAGTTGTAGGTCAAGTCCCTTTGCAGGTATAAATCCCCCCTTTAAAGTGGAAAAGTATACAAATTGTGTAATATAGGTATAAATTACAGACTATACATGACTGGAATTTCAGAGGCATGTATGCAATATGAGTTTAGCATGGAGAGATAGCCAACTGGGTAAATATAATTGATCCATGCTGCTATGAAAGATAATGAAAGCTAAAGCTGATTGCCAGTTACACATTTAGATCTTTTGTGCAGCGAATTATGACAAGCAGATGTAGATTTTTTTGTTTCAGGCATTTCCCCTAAAAACTATCCTACATAAGGAAATTTCCTTTATGAATATGCCAGTTACTGTGTCTATTACGGTCTTCTAAAACATACTATTGTAGAATTTGTGAATAAATATAATGGATGGAAGCAAATTAATATTTTAGAATCTAATAAATTTTAAAAGTCAACTTAACTGAGGTTTACTTTCAATACAATAAAATACATCCAAATTAAGTACAAACATATAAAGTTATGTGGCTACCACCAATGAAGATACTGAAGCTGTCTATTGCCTCAAAAGTTCTTTTGTACTCCTTACCAAAACCTCTGGCTCCAAGAAGCCATTGATCTGCAACCTACCATTATAAATTCAGTTTCTAGAATTTTGTAATAATAAACTTTTATAATATCCCTACTGTTGTTTCATTCTCTCAATATATTTTAGGATCACCTACGTTGCAAAATCAGCGGTTCTTTCTATTTTATTCTATTATATGGAAATACTACAATATGTTTATCCTTTAGCCTGTTGATGAACCATTTACAAATGTTTCTATTCCTTGATTATTACAAGTAAAGCTGCTACGTTCATTTGTATGCACGTTTTCATTTCTCTTGAGTAAGTAAGAATGGAATATTCTAGGTCAAATTGTAAGTGTATGTTTAACTGCCAAACTGCAATCCAAACTGATTTTCCACTTTATACTCCCACCTAAATATGATAATTCAGGGTGTTGTATGTCCTCTCAAACATTCAGAATTGACATTTTTTTGGATCCATTATAGTTTCTGTGCAGTGTTATTGCATTTTGATTTTTAAGTTCCACTCCCAGGTGGTTAATGATGCATTTTTCAGTGTTTATCGATCATTCATATATCTTTGGTTATTGTTGTCTGCTCAAATCTCTTGCCCATTTTGTTATTGTGTTGTTTGACTTCTCACTATGGAGTTTGATTTTTTTTTTTTTTTTTTTGGACATGGATTCTTGCTCTGTCACCCAGGCTGGAGTGCAGTGGCAAGATCTCGGCTCACTGCAAGCTCTGCCTCCCGGGTTCACGCCATTCTCCTGCCTCAGCCTCCTGAGTAGCTGGGACTACAGGCTCCCATCACCACGCCTGGCTATTTTTTTGTATATTTTTAGTAGAGACGGGGTTTCACCGTGTTAGCCAGGATGGTCTCGATCTCCTGACCTTGTGATTCACCCACCTTGGCCTTCCAAAGTTCTGGGATTAGAGGTGGAGTTTGATTTTTTTTATACATGTCAGGTAAAGTCTTTTTTTTTAAATTCTTTGTCTTTCTCTCTTAATCTTCCTCTCTGACCATATCTATATTTATCCATCTATATCTATACAGTTATAAAAATACAAACTCATAAAACTCAAGAAACCCTAAGCAACATAACACAAGTAAGCCACAAGACAAGTCAGGGAGATAGGAAGACCACAGGGTTTGAAGAGTGCAGGGCAGGACAGGGCTCCACAGCATGTCCAGGCTGCATTGTGAAGAGCCCTGCAGCTTGGGTCATATGATCTTGCAGGACCTGTATTCTTGCAGGTGTCAATGGTGGTCGCAGTGTGGCACACATGGCAATTCTCAGTGAAAGAATTACAACACCAGCTCCTGGGATTCTGAAACAAAGCCATGCCCTTCATAGCAGAGAATTATATGTTGGACCTAGGAGAGATGCTGTGCTTGATAAGTTACCATGCTTCTGGCACTACCTCTTGCAGGCTGAGTTCTATTGGGACCACCAAGTCATGACACCAGAAGGGAAAAGAAGTAGTTCATCATGAGGTGGAAATAGTAAATATGAGACAAAGGCCAAGCAAGATAAGAGCAAGTGGATAAGTTGAATAGCATGTAACCCAGATCCTCATGTCACCCATCATGTTTGCACCAGCAACCTTCCTTCAGCTCACACCTGTGACTGCATTTGTGTCCCTGTGGCCATCTGAAGGAGGAAGAAAGGGGCAATCTCTGTTTAAAGGTGTAGTTGCGTTGCAGCCCAATGCAAGAATGAATCTGAAAGACAGAAGGAAATTAAAACATTCCCCATTAGCAGCACTGGGAGCAGTGGCCCTGGCCATCTACTTTACATAGAAGAAACATGGCCTAAGGCAGGAATATAAACAGATTTCTTTGCCATAGTCAGTGGGTGAATCATCTGTTCAGAGGCTTAGATAGAAAAGAACTGAAATATCTGAGACAAGGAAGCTGGGTTAGAAGCATATGAGTGGACATGCAGGAGCAGGCACGGAGTGTAAAGAATCTTGTATTGCACGTTAACACTCACAAGAAAGCACTCACCACAGAAGAGGCACTCAATTACCAATCAGACAAAATGACTTGAAAAGCTGCCAGCCTTGGAGATTGGCTTTCCCACAACAAGCACAACAGTCACACATATGCAGTCACTCATATGACCATGTTGGCAGAGATGGACAATACATATGGGCCCCACAGCCTGGACTTCCATGTATCAAGGTTGATCTAACTACTGCTGCCTCTGACTGTCCTACTTTTCAACAGCATAAATCAATAATGAGACTCTTATATGGCAAGTCTTTTGACCTTGAATGACCACCTTTTCATCCTCAGAGGGATATATCCTTATTACAGGGCTGGGTTTGGCAATTCTGTTCACAGAGCCTGAGCCAGGACCACTTTTCTGAGGTTTCCAGAATTCCTGATCCACAGGCATAAAATCCCACATGGTATAGCATCTGACCAGGGTTCCTTGTTCACAGCAAAGGATGGGCAGAAGTGGGTCCATGACCATGTAATCTACTATTTGTATTACATACACTCTTCAAGAAGCAGCTAGACTCATGGAGCCCTGGAGAAATATTCTAAAGATGCAACTGAGGCACTATGCTAAAGAAGACATTCTGAATGCAGGGGGCACCATCTTTTATACATATTCAATCACAGATCTTTATATAGTAGTTCTTCTCCCATAGGAAGAATCTACAGGTTCAGAAAACAAGAGGTAGAAACAGGAATGTCCCTAATTACAAATGCTCCCAATAATCTTCTCAGGTTTTCCTGTGCTTCTCATCACTGCAGCTCTGGGATCTGGAAGGCAGGTAAGTCCTGCTCTCTAAAGAAGGTTATCTGTTGGGTGCTTTAGATTCCTTAGGTCCAGTAACCAAAAGACAAGAAATACATTACCACTGGGGCAGGATGAATACACCCTGATTAGCAGGAGGAGGTAGGGCTACTTTTCTACAAAAGAAGCAGAGATAATTTCTCTCTCTCTCACACACACACACACTCACGCACACACACACTCCCCACTCCCATGCTCTCTCTCTCTCTTTCTCTCCCTCTCACACAACTGGGCATTCAAAGGCAGTTCTGAGACCAACTGCTATAGCATGGGCTAGACTTGGTCTCATTAACCTTCTTTTCGAAGATTCCTCTTGGAAAAGAGAGGATCATGGGAATTTTGGAAGAGCTGGTATGAAGAACCTGTTTGGACAGATATGTGTGTGCTGTGGTGGGGTTAGGAGGTGGGGGTAATGGATTTTAATGACCAAGGAAATTTTCAGTGCAGATATCCTGACTCAGACAGCATAAGTCAGCGACAGTCTGGCTTTAGCCCTCTGTCTCTGGAAGCACTTCTACACTTGTGTAGCAGTCATGTTTCCAACAGTCATATAGCTACATGAGGATTGTATGTGAGGACGTTTCCAGTGAGTTGTGAGAGTCTCCAATGAGTAACTTTAATTTAAGGAGTCTGCAGTGACCTAGGCCAAAGCATTCTTGGAACCATGCTGCAGTCTCTTTCTACCCCAATCAGCCTTCCTTCCCTCTTTCCCTCTACAGGTGTAAGATCTGCACCCTAGTCTGAAGACTCTACCCACCTTCTCCTACTTCCTCCTTCTTCCCTCTTGCAAATTTAATTTCATGGTGGTGTTTGCCCTTAGCAGATCTAAACATTAATTCAAGTCATATGATCAGATAAGATGAAAAATGACTGAAAATGTCATTCATGACTTGTGAGTGGTGAGCTCTGCCTGGCAGTAGGGAGGAGAGAATTCTGATAGAAATTAATTTGGAAAAAACGGTGCTGCACATCCCAGCAAATACCATCCTATCTTATCTCTGCTAGGAATATTTTTTGTAACATGCATATAATTCACTTTTGCTTTATGAAGTAAATTTATATTTTAAGAATACAGCAACAATTTGAGTGCTGTTCACAGCTAGTGTGAACTGAAATTTGAGATTGGCTATAGAAGAAGGCCAATGACAGACGGGTTAGTAGAACAAAATGAATATAAATAGGAAAAAGTGAAAAATCAGTAAGACGGTATGTTGGAAAGGAGTACAGTAGTTGGAAGAATTAATGATTCAATATTTCTATAAAGAGTCTCCATTTAGATGATTCAAAGAGTATCCATGAAGAAATGCACATTTTATTGAATATACAGAAGTGTGATTAGTGGTGAAGGAGAGTGAATTCTGTTTGTTATATGACTATGACATGTAGAGAACTTCTCATTCAAGGTGAGTGTGCAAAAATATTACAAAACATGGAGAATTAACTATTAGAGAGATGATGAAATAATTTTACAAAGAAACCTCCTAGAGATGAATTCACCACAGCAAATATGAGAAATATTATAGCAAACTAAATTTTCCTTTTAAGTGAGTACATTTAGAATTCTCAACTGGCTTTTTAAGAAGAAAACATCCAGGGCCAGGCATGGTGGCTCACGCCTGTAATCCCGGCACCTTGGGAGGCTGAGATGGGTAAATCATCTGAGGTCGGGAGTTCAAGACCAGCCTGGTAAACACTGTGAAACCCCATCTCTACTAAAAATTCAAAAATTAGCAGGGCACGGTGGTGGGTGCATGTAATCCCAGCTACTCAAGAAGCTGAAGCAGAAGAATTGCTTGACCCCAGGAGGCGGACTTTGTAGTGAGCCAAGATGGCATCATTGTACTCCAACCTGGGTAACAGAGTGAGCCTCTGCCAAAAAAAAACAGAAGAAGAAAATTCATCAAAAAGAATAGAAGACTTAAAAGTAAAAACAGACGCCTGGTGTGGTGGCTCTCTCCTGTAATTCCAGCTCTTTGGTAGGATGAGTTGGGTGGATCATGAGGTCAGGAGATGAAGACCATCCTGGCTAACACAGTGAAACCCTCTCTCTAATAAAAATACAAAAAAATTAGCCCAGCATGGTGGCGGGCACCTGTAGTCCCAGCTACTCGGGAGGCTGGGGCAGGAGAATGGCGTGAACCTGGGAGGCAGAGCTGGCAGTGAGCTGAGATCACGTCACTGCACGCCAGCCCGGGCGACAGAGCTAGACTCCATCTCAAAAAAGAAAAAAAATATAAATAAAAACAAGCAAAAGGCCAGGCGTAGTGGCTTATGCCTGTAATCCTAACACTTTGGGAGGCCAAGGTGGGTGTATCACCTGAGGTCAGGACTTCAAGACCAACCTGGCCAACATGGTGAAACCATAGCTGGGAATGGTGGCGGGTGCCTGCAATCCCAGCTACTCCAGAGGCTGAGGTAAGAGAACTGATAGAACCCTGGGGGATTGCAGTGAGCAGAGATCACGCAATTGCACTCTGCCCGGGGCAACAGAGTAAGACTCTGGGAAAAAAAAAAAAGCAGGCAAAAAAAAAAAGTAAAGATTGATATAAAAAATTAAAAGCAGCCAGGCGTGGTGGCTCACACCTGTAATCCCAGCACTTTGGTAGGCTGAGGGGCGTGGATCATGGTATCAGGAGTTCTAGACCAGGCTGACCAACATAATGAAACCCCGTCTCTACTAAAAATTCAAAAATTAGCCGAGTGTGGTGGCGCATGCCTGTAATTCCAGCCACTCAGGAGGCTGAAACAGGAGAGGAGGCTGAGGCAGGAGGAGAGTCACTTGAACCCAGGAGTAGGAGGTTGCAGTGAACCGAGATCTTGCCACTGAACTTCAGCCTGGGTGACAGAGCAAGACTCCATCTCAAAAAAGGAAAAAAAAAATTAAAATCTCTAGAAATGAAAATTATATAAAAAAGAAGTGTAAATGCAATAAACACAAAGAATTAGTCAATTGGGAGATAATGATGAATTTATCCAGATAAAATGATTTAAAAGTCAGAAAGACCAGTCAAGAAAGTCCCCAACACATGTATGATAGGAGTTTCAAAAGGAGTCCAAAGAGAATGGAGAAGCCATATTTAAGGACAGTATTCATCCACTCAGCAAACACTCACTAAGGGCCCACTTTCATGACGTTTCCATTCTAATGGTAGAGAATACTTATACACAAGGAAACACTGGCAATGCCTTCACTATTTGTATACTTTACATGATGTCATAAAATTTCCATTGCAGAGGAAAGACTTGAGGACTCTAATTTAAAGTATGAAACAAGTGCTGAGCAGAAGAAATAAAAATGAATCCATATCCAGACACATTGATGACTCTGTGTTTTCTTGTTTACAAAGCAGTTCTTTAAAATTAATTTTCAGTAAGAGGATGTGTATATCACCTTCACTGTTTTCCTTTTTGTTTTGATCTATTCCTCTTGCTTATTCTAGTTTGAAATGATTTCTTCAAAAAAAGTCTTAAAAGTCTTATCCATTTATGAATCAATTTATATCTTTCATTTTCTAGATTATAATTTTTACTTTTCTGTTATTAATTTCCTTCCATTAGGTATGTTTTTTGATCCTGTATTTACTTACTGACATGAATGATTAATTCATTTATCTTCTCTGGCTTAGTAAAAAAAAAATTGAAAATCTTGAAATTATATATGTTTCTTATTATCTTTCTTAATTATATTGTGTGTAGAGAGGTTTGTTAACTTTTCCAAAAAGTAGATTATTTATTTATAGGTTAGTTGTTTCTTCTTATAGTAATTTCACTTGGAGGATAAATGTTAAAATTTGAAGAACAATAACTTTTTGTTGACCTTTAAAAAAGTATATTTTTATTTGAAAGATACAGTGTTGGATATTTTTACTAAAATAACATAATTATTTACACACTGTCTTATCTAATTACCCATTTTAGTTCCTATGAACCCTATTATAAACCAGCAATATTTCTTCTGGCCTATGTATAAGCTTTTATTTTTATATTTAAATAAATCTATTTAATGAAAGAAATACCATTGTGTATTTTTAAATTATAGACAGTAGATTTACTCAAACAAAAATTTCTTCTCTCTTCTAGTTGATAAACTTATTTCTGATTCGCATTTCTCTAGTTTATATATCTACAATGACAGCTGTTTCCTATACTTATGTAATCATTTCTGCATACACTGAGGGTGTCTTATTTACAATATGACATGTAAAATATTTTAACAAGAGTTATTGTTTTGCAATTGTATAGTTTTTATTATTTTCATTTTTCTTGTTGAAGATGCTTATTCTCTCCTTTTCTCTTTCATAATTTACTATACCTTCATCTTTCTTTCTTTCTTTCCTTCTTTCTTTCTTTCTTTCTTTTTTCTTTTTTTTTTTGAGACAGAGTCTCCCTCTGTAGCCCAGGCTGGAGTGAAGTGGCACGATCTCGGCTCACTGCAAGCTCTGCCTCCCGGGTTCACACCATTCTCCTGCCTCAGCTTCCTTAGTAGCTGGGACTACAGGCATCCGCCACCATGCCCGGCTAATTTTTTGCATTTTCAGTAGAGACGGGGTTTCACTGTGTTAGCCAGGATGGTCTCCATCTCCTGACCTCGTGATCTGCCCGCCTTGGCCTCCCAAAGTGCTGGGATAACAGGCATGAGCCACCATGCCCAGCCTTTACTTTTTTTTAGACAGTTTTTGCTCTGTTGGCGCAGGCTGCAGTCCAGCAGTGAGACCTAGCCTCATTCAACCTCCGCCTCCAGGTTCAAGCGATTTTCCTGCCTCAGCCTCCCGAGTAGCTGGGACTACAGGCGCCCACCACCATGCACAGCTAATTTTTGTATTTTTAGTAGAGACGACGTTTCGCCATGTTGGCTAGGCTTGTCTCGAAATCCTGACCTGAGGTGATGCACCCAGCTCAGCCTCCCAAAGTACTGGAATTACAGGCGCGAGCCACCGTGCCCGGCCCAGTCCTTGTATTTTTAAGGTTTCATTTGTGTATTTTCTTTAGGAAAATATTTCAATAATTTATCACTGCAATTAGCTGAAGTTATAAAATTACTTCTGGATTTGGGAAGATTATACCTGAGCATGGCAAAGGATTAGAAATAATAGCTAGCAGCTGGGGGCAGCGGCTCACGCCTGTAATCCCAGCACCATGGGAGGCCGAGGCGGGCAGATCAGAAGGTCAAGAGACATAGACCATTTTGGCCAACATGGTGAAATCCCATCTCTACTTAAAAAATAAAATTAAAAAAAAAATTAGCTTGGCGTGGTGGTGCATGCCTGTAATTCCAGCTACTCAGGAGGCTGAGACAAGAGAATCGCTTGAACTCGGGAGGCAGAGGTTGCAATGAGCCAAGGTTGCACCGCTGCATTGCAGCCTGGAGACACAGCAAGACTCCGTCTCAAATAAATAAATAAATAAATAAATAAATAAATAAATAAATAATAGCTAACTTTTTCTATCTGCCAGACACTGTGCTAAATACTTTGCATGAAGATGATAATTTCGAAACTAAACACAGAAGAGCAAGTGTAAAAGAAGTAATTTCTTTCTTTCTTTTCTTTTATTTTTTTTATTTTTTCTTTGAGACAGTCTTGCTCTGTCGTCCAAGCTGGAGTGCAGTGGCGGGATCTCGGCTCACTTCAACCGCCACCTCCTGAGTTCAAGCAATTCTCCTGCCTCAGCCTCATGAGTAGCTGGGATTACAGGCATCCACCACCAGAGACGGCTAATTTTTTTTTGTATACTTTTATTTAATTCAGCTTAGGTTACTTGTTTATTAGTAGTAGTTTTGCATCTATGAGATTGTTGTATAAAATAAATGGTTTAAATATGTAGGATATTTAAAAGTCATTCTTTCTGCATTAGAGATTTTGAGGCTTTAAAGAGGGCATTACACGGGTAGAGACACAACTAAAAAAGAGAATTTTAGGCCAATATCCTTGATGAACATTGATGCAAAAATCCTCAATAAAATACTGGCAAACCGATTCCAGCAGCACATCAAAAAGCTTATCCACCATGATCAAGTGGGCTTCATCCGTGGGATGCAAGGCTGGTTCAATATATGCAAATCAATAAATGTAATTCCAGCATATAAACAGAACCAAAGACAAAAACCACATGATTATCTCAATAGATGCAGAAAAGGCCTTTGACAAAATTCAACAACCCTTCATGCTAAAAACTCTCAATAAATTAGGTATTGATGGGACATATTTCAAAATAATAAGAGCTATCTATGACAAACCCACAGCCAATATCATACAGAATGGGCAAAAACTGGAAGCATTCCCTTTGAAAACTGGCACAAGACAGGGATGCCCTCTCTCACCACTCCTATTCAACATAGTGTTGGAAGTTCTGGCCAGGGCAATCAGGCAGGAGAAGGAAATAAAGGGTATTCAATCAGGAAAAGAGGAAGTCAAATTGTCCCTGTTTGCAGATGACATGATTGTATAACTAGAAAACCCCATTGTCTCAGCCCAAAATCTCCTTAAGCTGATAAGCAACTTCAGCAAAGTCTCGGGATACAAAATCAATGCACAAAAATCACAAGCATTCTTATAAACCAACAAAAGACAAACAGAGAGCCAAATCATGAGTGAACTCCCATTCACAATTGCTTCAAAAAGAATAAAATACCTAGGAATCCAGCTTACAAGGGATGTGAAGGACCTCTTCAAGGAGAACTACAAACCACTGCTCAAGGAAATAAAAGAGGATACAAACAAATGGAAGAACATTCCATGCTCAGGGGTAGGAAGAATCTGTATCGTGAAAATGGCCATACTACCCAAGGTAATTTACAGATTCGATGCCATCCCCATCAAGCTACCAATGTCTTTCTTCACAGAATTGGAAAAAAACTACTTTAAAGTTCATATGGAACCAAAAAAGAGCCCGCAGCACCAAGTCAATCCTAAGCCAAAAGAACAACGCTGGAGGCATCACACTACCTGACTTCAAACTATACTACAAGGCTACAGTAACCAAAACAGCATGGTACTGGTACCAAAACAGAGATATAGATCAACGGAACAGAACAGAGCCCTCAGGAATAACGTCGCATATCTACAGCTATCTGATCTTTGACAAGCCTGAGAAAAACAAGCAATGGGGAAAGGATTCCCTATTTAATAAATGGTGCTGGGAAAACTGACTAGCCATATGTAGAAAACTGAAACGGGATCCCTTCCTTACACCTTATACAAAAATCAATTCAAGATGGATTAAAGACTTGAACGTTCGGCCTAAAACCATAAAAACCCTAGAAGAAAACCTAGGCATTACCATTCAGGACATAGGCATGGGCAAGGACTTCATGTCTAAAACACCAAAAGCAATGGCAACAAAAGCCAAAATTGACAAATGGGATCTAATTAAACTAAAGAGCTTCTGCCCAGCAAAAGAAACTACCACCAGAGTGAACAGGCAACCTGCAAAATGGGAGAAAATTTTCACAACCTACTCATCTGACAAAGGGCTAATATCCAGAATCTACAATGAACTCCAACAAATTTACAAGAAAAAAACAAACAACCCCATCAAAAAGTGGGCGAAGGACATGAACAGACACTTCTCAAAAGAAGACATTTATGCAGCCAAAAAACACATGAAAAAATGCTCATCATCACTGGCCATCAGAGAAATGCAAATCAAAACCACAACGAGATACCATCTCACACCAGTTAGAATGGCAATCATTGAAAAGTCAGGAAACAACAGGTGCTGGAGAGGATGTGGAGAAATAGGAACACTTTTACACTGTTGGTGGGACTGTAAACTAGTTCAACCACTGTGGAAGTCAGTGTGCGATTCCTCAGGGATCTAGAACTAGAAATACCATTTGACCCAGCCATCCCATTACTGGGTATATACCCAAAGGACTATAAATCATGCTGCTATAAAGATACATGCACACGTGTGTTTATTGTGGCATTATTCACAATAGCAAAGACTTGGAACCAACCCAAATGTCCAACAATGATAGACTGGATTAAGAAAATGTGGCACATATACACCATGGAATCCTATGCAGCCATAAAAAATGATGAGTTCGTGTCCTTTGTAGGGACATGGATGAAATTGGAAATCATCATTCTCAGTAAACTATTTCAAGAACAGAAAACCAAACACCACATGTTCTCACTCATAGGTGGTAATTGAACAATGAGAACACATGGACACAGGAAGGGGAACATCACACTCTGGGGACAGTTGTGGGGTGGGGGGAGGGGGGAAGGATAACATTGGGAGATATACCTAATGCTAGATGACAAGTTAGTGGGTGCAGTGCACCAACATGGCACATGTATACATATATAACTAACCTGCACTTTGTGCACATGTACCCTAAAACTTAAAGTATAATAATAATAATAATAAAAAGTACATCACCAAAAAAATAAATAAATAAAGAAGGCATTATAAAATGCCTCATGGTAAAAATATTATTTTGACAATTATTAAAGTAAAATAAAAATTTGTGACTCATAAAGACACACTTCATTTTTATCCTCTATTTTTTTCTACAAATGGGTCTTGAGTATTTTAAGATAAAATTTAAAAAAATCAAGTAATTTTAATTGGAAATTTCAAAAAAATAAAACCCTGAATCCAATTCAAATTTCACTTACTTGAAAATTCTCACTGATATAAATTTATTTATATAAATGTAATATAACCAATAAAGATATACAATAGAGTCATTGTTAATTTGGGTAAAAAAATTTTAAAAACAATGCAAACTTGTATTACCTCCATATGTATGTATGTACACATGTACACATATATGAATATTTATATGTATATTTGCATACACACACCATATATATACCTGTGTATAAATGAATAACAATGGAATATCAGTTGGTCTCTACTACAACATTTGAAGGCCCATTGCACAATGGCCAGAACAGAGGCGACATCGGAATGCAACCTAAAATTTCCAAGATGACTTGAATTGTATCTGAATTTCTAACAGGGCATAGAGAAATTAAAATCTCGTTTAATTATGCTTCTTTGTTTATTACTGGGAGAGCCTCACATGCAAAGCAGATCAGGATATTCTCTTACCAAATGTGTTAATTAACAGTCAATTCATAATGTAAGGGTGACTCAAATAGCAGATTCAATATCCAACAGGAAGGGCTTTTGTAGCCCATTCTATTTTTGGTCAACCACAAACCACCCACCCCTGCTGAAATAAAAACTTGAAAGACAGGTGGATAAAAATATGTTCTAGACCAAGGGGTAGGTACCGGGTCTGCAAAAGACATAGTGTGCCACCCACAAACACAAAAGTTCAAGGAGTGTGGCTCAATCCTTCAGAAAATTGGTTCTAACTTTCAAATCATTAGGGATCTTCTTTATAAAAGATATAGCAAACAAAAACACAAAATATACCTCTCTAAGATTATTAGGAAGTTAAAAAAAAAGTGACTTGTAACTTTTAATAAATAGCTAGGGAGGTAAGCTTGTTCATTTCTGAGATTCACAACTTTGATAAAGGCACTCTATTAATGCTTGAATTGTGCTGTGTTCAATAGAAGCAATGAGACCTAAGCCATACTGAGAGAAGAAAAAAATTTAACAACAAGAAAATCTAATGCTGCTTAATTTCTTTAAATATTTATTAATTTCTGAATGCTATGTGATTGCTTTCATATTAATTTTTCAGTAGAGAAATTGAATACAATTGAATACAATTTCTCAGTTGAGAAATTAAATACAATGGATTTTAGTGTGATGACATACTTGACAGGATAAATTTAAAATCATTATTTTAATTAGATATAATTCTTTTAGGTAGGATAATAAAAATAAAGGAAAACCGATTTTCTTTAAATTCCATCAATTATTTCTTTCTCACAATAATTAATATGTAATTTACCAATGATGTAGATTAATACCAAATTCTCTTACTTTTGGTTTCATCAAAAAATGATGAGCATTTTTCTCTGATAGATGTTTAGTTACTTTCAGATGGCTTGTAATCTTGTACTTTCAACATTGAAGATTTTTTTTCACATATTGATACCAATCATTTTATGATATATCTGATTTTATAATTATGTATTCATTGTTTTCAAATGAGAGTTATGTTTGTATACAGTAAGAATTATAATAGAGGAAGTTATCTGGTGCTCCAGGAATTTAAATAAGAGAAGATATAAAGATCTCGGCCTTTGTATCAATATTTTAATTGGATCCTAAAAAGTGAATGAAGATAGACAGAAAACAAGTAAAAAATGGTCTAAGCAGATGGAATAGAAGGAGTAAAAGGAGAGTAATAGAAAAGTGTGTGTGTCTTTGAAGGAACATAACCTGTTCTGGGTGTGGCTACAGCACAGGTTTGTGAAGGAAAATGTTAAATGATTGAGGAGAATGTCTCTAAATATCAGTGATTTTGTATTTTACCCTTCAATGATGGGACATAAGTAAACAATTTTTAAAAGCATAGTGGGTGTGTGTGTATATAAATATATAGCATATATATATAGTATATAGCATATCTATACTTATACTATATACATACATGTAGTGTGTATGTATATATGTATATATAGTATATATATATGCTTATTTTCATTCTAGATAGAAGTTTTTGAGATGCAGTTAGAAGAAAAAGTCAGAAAGAATAGTCAAGATTATTCCAGGAATACAGGCATGCTGTGATGAATGACTAAATTAAAACATTAGCAGCAACACAGAAGAGAAATGGCAGAATAGAAAGGTAATTCAAGGTAGAAAGAGCTGAACTTAATAATTCATTTAGAAGTAAGAGTCAAGGCATATATACTCTAAATTTTCTTGGCGACTGGCTTGATATTATCATCATTAGCTGAGATGGGCAATGCTTTAAAAGAAATAGATTTATTTGCCAAAATATAAAATGTGTTTATGGCTATGTCAAATTTGAGATGCAGGTGGTGAAGACAGAGGGGGAGAATCAGTTGACATTTTAAAATATAGGTTTGGAACCTACAGGAAAATATTGGAGTAAAAAAAAATAAAGAAAGAAAATTAAATGTCAAAGGAAATGCTGGAAGTGTGGGAATGGATAAAAGGAGCACAGGAAAAGTGTGCAGAGCATTGTCACCCAAAGTGCATGAGAATTTTATACGCATATGAATACAACTCGCAAAACACACAAATATTTTTGCTTCCCTGCATCATTTACTGGAGTCTTTTACATACACATTCTGAAATATAAGGTATGCAGAATTTTCTAAGCGTATCATAGAATTCCATTCCAAGAACACATTTCAGGAAAACTCTTGTCAATCAGGGAAACATTGGTGCAGAATAGTAAGAAAAGAAATACCCATTAAGACTAGTACTTACACAGTGGACATGAAAAAACTAGGCAGCAAGGAGTTATTAAAAAGAAAGCATGGGCTGGGCATTGTGGCTCATGCCTGTAATCCAAGCACTTTGGGAGGCCGAGGTGGGCGGATCACCTGAGGTTGGGAGTTTGAGACCAGCCTGACCAACATGAAGAAACCCCATCTCTACTGAAAATACAAAATTAGCTGGGCATGGTGGCACATGCGTGTAATCGCAGCTACTCGGGAGGCTGAGGCAGGAGAGTCTCTTGAACCTGGGAGGCGGAGGTTGCAGTGAGCTGAGATCACACTGTTGCACTCCAGCCTGGGTGAAAAGAGGGAAAATTCCTCTCAAAAAAAAAAAAAAAAAAAGAAAAGAAAAAAGAAAAAAAAGAAAGAAAAAAATAAAAGAAAAAAGAAAAAATTGAAAGCATGGGGCCAACACTGAGTGGTCTTAAGGAAGGCAAGGTAGAAGGAAATTTAAAGAAGGAAATGAGAAACAATGCAGAATGTTTAGAAAGGTCAATTAGGAAGCTCCCATAAATATTCTCACTATGTATTATAGGGAATTCATTTATAACTTCAAAAATACCACTCAAAAAAGATGGTAATTGTTGAAATGAGATTTCAATGGGTGAAAGAGGCTGGGCACAGTGGCTCATGCCTGTAATCCCAGCACTTTGGGAGGCCGAGGTGGATGGATCACGACGTCAGCCGTTCAAGACCAGCCTGGCCAAGATGTGAAACCCTATCTCTACTAAAAATACAAAAATTAAACGGGCATGGTGTTGGGCGCCTGTAATCCTAGCTACTTGGGAGGCTGAGACAGGAGAATCGCTTGAACCCGGGAGGTGGAGGTCGCAGTGAGCCGAGATGATGCCACTGCACTCCAGCCTGGGTGACAGAGCAAGAGAAAGAAAAGAGAAAAGAAAAGAGAAGAGAAGAAAGAAAAGAAGGACGGAAGGGATTTTTAAAAGAGATGAGAAGTCAGTATACTGTTTTGGAGGAAGTGTAATTTATGATTGTGGCTATAACTTGCTATGAATGGAAACAGCAACACACCACTGGATTTCAACTTTTGAGTGCTTAAGAAGGTGGAGATGGTGATTAAAATAATAATAATAATAATAATAATAATAATAATAATGCTAAGTGTGTAATAGTTGCTAAGTGTGTGGTGTCTGAACCCAGGATATCAGGATGTCTGAAACTGGGATTGAATCCCAGCTCTTCCACTTTCTGGTTATGTGAGTGACTGTAGGCAAATTACTTAATCTTTTAATGCTCCAGTTTCCCATATGTAAAATGAGAATTATAATAGTAAACTACTTCATGGCTTGTGAGGATGAAGTGCATGTAGAGTACTTAGTGAGTTCTCTTTGTGTATTATGTATTAGTTTCAAAATGCAGATTCTAGAGCCCTTAGATTCTCATTCAATAGGTATGAGGCAAGCACGGGCCAGGATTCTGCATTCTTTAAGGAGGTGTAATTTCCTACATCTGCTGTGACAAAGTGGTTCACATTAGGTCGCTTAAAATGAGATAAAGTTATTTTTTACGGTTCAGGAAGCTAGAAATCTTAAATGAAGGAGTTAGCAGTGCTGCATTTTTCTCTGAAGGACCTGGGAAAAAATCCTTTCTTGCTTCTTCTAGCACCGGGTGATCACTGAGCTTCATTGTCTTTGCTTGGCTGGAGGATACCTCACTTTATTCTCTACCTCCATCCTCACATGGCCATCTCCTCCCTGCGTCTCTGTTTCCTCTTCCCTTCTTATGAGGATATCAACCATATTGAATTATGGCCCACTCTAATGCATTATGAGCTCATCTAGCATATCATAATTATACAGCATCTGCAAATAATTTGATTTCAAATTAAGTCATACTCACAGACATCAGGGGCTAGAACTCTAATATATATATTTTCTTTTTGAAGACACAATCTAACCCACAAAAGGAGGGGAGCCCCTTAAGATCATAAATAACTCAAGTAACAAGACTGTGTGTTTAAAATAGCATTTCAATTTCTCCAAATGGCAGACAGCTTAATTCAGATCAATACCAATCAGGAGATAAACAAGTGTTTGTCTCCTGATTGACATTTACCTGAGATTAAAACATTATGGTAAAATACATTATCTTCAGTGATCTTTGGTTTAGGTGAGCATTCATAAGGCACACAGTTATTATCACTTGAGCCATCTCTCTCTAATAACTCTTTTCTAATCTGCTGGCCAACAATATCAGGTTCTTTCAAATCTCTGATTATTGGACCAAACGATAAGGTCCTCCATGTGAATTGGTAGAAATAATTTTTACAAAGGTAAATTAAATTTTATTTACTTGATGGATATCTCTTCTCCTCTGTATAAAGGGGTGACCCTTTGACAGCACAGGGAAAGAACATGATAGAAATAGACTTTCAGAAGGAAGGGCCTTCCATAACAAGGAATGCCATCTGTAATCCAGACTTTTTTCTCCTCAGGAATCCAGTCATAGGCAAATCTCTATCAATCACAGATAAATAGAAAGAAGGGTGGGAGTGTGTCAGGAGTAGGATGCTGAAAATGTGAGTAACCTGTTCATTAATTGATCCCTTGGAAACTGAGAAGGCAATGTGGCATACATGCAATATCCATGGAATGATGGAAGACTGGTTGTAGTTAGTATGATCCTATAATACTCAGATCACAATGGGGTCACCCTTATTCATGATTGAGCATTCCTTCTTATTAGTATCCCAATGTGAAATTGTTTCTCAAAAAAGGAGGGGGCGGGTAATTTTTGTATAAAAGGCTTCTACTCCAAAATAAAGTGGCTTGTACTGTATTTCTCCTCTGGAGCCTTGCCGCTGGCTCCATAGGAAAATTCTGCCTCTCATAGATACATGAGGCATTGGATTCCCTAAACAAAGTTGTAGATCCACTTGTACTGCAGGCCTCTGTAGTCCAAAACTTTTCTCTTTCTCGGAGTCCCACTCACAGCTGACATCCTTCTTGACATTTGCGTTTTATTTAGAATACACATCCAAATATGTTTTATGTTGCCTCTAACATTCAAAAGAGCCTATAACAGTCTTCCTTTCCCTATCCCTTCCTTCCATTTGAAAGATGTTTGCTCCACATCACTTTCTACTGCATTCTTAGACTCCCTGAAGGTAGGAAACCCACATTTTTGTCATTTGTTCGATGTGTCTTTCCTGAAGTCTATGGTAGCTGCTATTTTTCTCTAGAACGTATCAACCGGATGCTGTCCATGTTATCCATAAGTTATGTCCGTTTGGCTAGTGACATGGCCAGGGTTCCTGAGTACAAAATTATGACACAGACAAAAATAGTTATACTTCTACAGCTAAATAGTGAAGACACTCTGCCTGGAAAAAGTAAGAAATTTCAGGTATTTACCATTTATTTAAGATACAGAAAAATAATTTGCCTAAATGTATAGCAGGAAAAGGAGATTAGTGTATTCACTAAAGCAAGGAGACTACATCTGGATTTTAAATGTGTGCCCTCAGATAGGATTCCAGTACACAGTGGCTGGATTCTGAGTGTTTGTCCCTCACACAGGATTACAAAACACTGCTACGAGGTTCGGAATGGAAAAGGAAATATCTTCACATAAAGAGAAGAAAGAAGCATTCTGAGAAACTTCTTTGTGATGTGTGCATTCACCTCACAGAGTTGAAATTTTCTTTTGATTTAGCACTTTTGAAACACTCTTTTTGTAGTGTCTGCAAGTGGATATTTGGAATGCTTTACAGCCTATGGTGGAAAAGTAAATATCTACACATTAAAACCAGACAGAAGCATTCTGAGAAACTCCTCTGTGATCTGTGCATTCATCTCACAGAGTTGAACGTTTCTCTTGATTGAGCAGTTTTGAAACACTCTTTTTGTGGAATCTGCAAGTGGATATTTTGAGCACTTTGGGGCTTATGGTGGAAAAGGAAATATCTTCACATAAAAACTAGACAGAAGCATTCTGAGAAATTTCTTTGTGATATGTGCATTCAACTCACAGAGTTGAAATATTCTTTTGATTGAGCAGTTTTGAAACACTCTTTTTGTAGTATCTGCAAAGTTGGAGGGCTTTGGGACCTCTAGAGGAAAGGGAAATATCTTCACTTAAAAACTAGACAGAAGCATTCTGAGAAACTTCTTTGTGATGTGTGCATTCATCTCACAGAACTGAACATTTCTTTTGATTGAGCAGCTTTGAAACACTCTTTTTGCAGAATCTGCAAGTGGGCATTGGGAGCGATTTGAGGCCTATGGTGGAAAAGGAAACATCTTCACAAAAAACTACACAAAAGCCTTCTGAGAAACTTCCTTGTGATGTGTGCATTCATCTCACAGAATTGAACCTTTCTTTTGATTGAAGAGTTTTGAAACACTTCTTTTGAAGAATCTGCATGTGGATATTTGGATCAGTTTGGGGCCTGTGGTGGAAAAGGAAATATCTTCAAATAAAGACTACGCAGAGTAGTTCTGAGAAAGTTCTTTGTGATGTGTGCATTCAACTCACATAGTTGAAGATTTCTTTTGATTGAGCAGTTTTGAAACTATCTTTTTGCAGTATTTGCAAGTGGATATTTGGAGCGGTTTGAGGCCTATTGTGGAAAAGGAAATATCTTCACATAAATACTAGACAGAAGCATTTTGAGAAACTTCTTTGTGATGTGTGCATTCATCTCACAGAGTTGAAACTTTGTTTTGATTGAGCAGTTTTGAAACACTCTTTTTGTAGAATCTGCAAGTGGATACTTGGAGTGCTTTGAGCCCAATGGTGGAAAAGGAAGTATCTTCAATTAAAAACTAGACAGAAGCATTCTGAGAAACTTCTTTGTGATGTGTGCATTCAACTCACAGAGTTTAAAATTTCTTTTGATTGAGGAGTTTGGAAAATTTCTTTTTGTAGAATCTGCAAGTGGATATTTGGAGTGCTTTGCGGCCTATAGTGGAAAAGGAAATATCTTCACATAAAAACCAGACAGAAGCCTTCTGAGAAACTCCTTTGTGATGTGTGCATTCATGTCTCAGAGATGAACCTTTCTTCTGATTGAGCAGTTTTGAAACACTCTTTTTGTAGAATCTGCAAGTGGATATTTGGAGCGCTTTGTGGCCAATGGTGGTAAAAGGAAACATCTTCACATAAAAACTGGACGGAAGCATTCTGAGAAACTTCTTTGTGATTTGTGCATTCAGCTCACAGAGTTGAACCTTTCTTTTGATTGAGCAGTTTCAACACTCTTTTTGTACAATCTGCAAGTAAATAATTGGAGCGCTTTAAGGTCTGCAGTGGAGAAGGAAATATCTTCAAACAAAAACTACGCAGAAGCATTCTGAGAAACTTCTTTGTGATTTGTGCATTCAACACACAGAGTTGAACCTTTCTTTTGATTGAGCAGTTTGAAACACTCTTTTTGTAGAATCTGCAAGTGGATATTTGGAGCGCTTTAAGGTCTATGGTGGAGAAGGAAATATCTTCACATAAAAACTGGACAAAAGCATTCTGAGAAACTACTTTGTGATGTGTGCATTCATCTCACAGAATTGAAACTTTCTTTTGATTGAGCAGATTTGAAGCACACTTTTTGTGGAATGAGCAAGTGGATATTTGGAGCGCTTCAAGACCTATGGCGGAAACGGAAATATCTTCATCTAAAAACAACACAGAAGCAGTCTGAGTAACTTCTTTCTGATGTGTGCATTCATTTCACAAAGTTGAACATTTCTTTGGATTCAGCAGTTTTGAAAAACACTTTTTGTAGTATCTGCAAGTGGATATTTGGAGCGCTTTGGGGCCTATGGTGGAAAATGATATATCTTCACCTAAAAACTACACAGAAACATTCTGAGAAACTTGTTTGTGATGTGTGCATTCATCTCACAGAGTTGAACCTTTCTTTTGATTGAGAAGTTTTGACACACTCTTTTTGTAGAATCTGCAAGTGGATATTTTTAACGCTTGGCAGCCTATGGTGGAAAAGGAAATATCTTCACATAAAAACTAGACAGAGGCATTTTGAGAAGCTCCTTTGTGATGTGTGCATTCATCTCACAGTGTTGAACATTTCTTTTGATTTAGCTGCTTTCAAATATTCTTTTTGCAGAATCTGCAAGTGGATATTTGAAGTGCTTTGAGGCCTATGGTGGAAAAGGAAATACCTTCACATAAAAACTAGACAGAAGCATTCTGAGAAACTTCTTTGGGGTGTGTGCATTCATCTCACAGAGTTGAACCTTTCTTTTTATTGAGCAGTTTTGAAACACTCTTTATGTATAATCTGCCAGTGGTTATTTTGAGTGCTTTGAGTCTTCTGGAGGAAAAGGAAATATTTTCACATAAAAACTAGACAGAAGCATTCGGAGAAACTTCTGTGTGATATGTGCATTGATCTCACAGAGTTGAACCTTCCCTTTGACTGAGCAGTTTTTAAACACTCTTTTTGTAGAATCTGCAAAAGGATATTTGGAGTGCTCTGAGGCCAGTGATGGAAAAAGAAATATCTTCACATAACAACTAGACAGAAGCATTGTGAGAAACTTCCTTTTGATGTGTGCATTCATCTCACAGAGTTGAACTTTACTTTTGATTGAGCAGTTTTGAAACACTCTTTTTGTAGAATCTGCAAGTGGACATTTGGAGCTCTTTGCAGCCTATGGTGGAAAAGGAAATATCTTCACATAAAAACTACACAGAAGCATTCTCTGAAACTTCTTTGTGATGTGTGCATTCATCTCACAGAGTTGAACCTTTCTTTTCATTGAGCAATTTTGAAGCACTCTTTTTGTAGAATCTGCAAGTGGACATTTAGTGCGCTTTGTGGCCTAAGGTGGAAAAGGAAATATCTTCACATAAAAACTAGACGGAATCATTCTGACAAACTTCTTTGTGATGTGTGCATTCATCTCACAGAGTTCAAACATACTTTCAATTGAGCAGTTTTGAAACACTCTTTTTGTAGAATCTGCAAGTGGATATTTTTAACGCTTGGCAGCCTATGGTGGAAAAGGAAATATCTTCACATAAAAACTAGACAGAGGCATTTTGAGAAGCTCCTTTGTGATGTGTGCATTCATCTCACAGTGTTGAAAATTTCTTTTGATTTAGCTGCTTTCAAATATTCTTTTTGTAGAATCTGCAAATGGATATTTGAAGTGCTTTGAGGCCTATGGTGGAAAAGGGTCTGCAAGTGGACATTTGGAGAGCTTTGAGGCCTAAGGCAGAAAAAGAAATATTTTCATATTATAATTAGACAGAAGCATTCTGAGAAAGTTCTTTGTGATATGTGCATTCATCTCACAGAGTTGAAACTTTCTTTTGATTGAGCAGTTTTGACACACTCTTTTTGTAGAATCTCCAAGTGGACATTTGGAGCGCTTTGTGGACTATGGTGGAAATGGAAATTTCTTCACATAAAAACTGTTCAGAAACATTCTGAGAAACTTCATTGTGATATGTCCATTCGTCTGACAGAGTTGAATGTTTCTTTTGATTGAGCACCTTGGAAACTCTCTTTTTATAGAATCTGCTAGTGGACAATTGGAGTGCTTTGAGGCCTATGGGGGAAAACAAACTATCTTCACTTAAGTACTAGACAGAATAATTCTGAGAAACTTCTTTGTGATGAGTACATTCATTTCACAGAGTTGAACCTTTCTTTTTTTTGAGCAGCTTTGAAAAACTCTTTTTGTAGACTCTGCAAATGGACATTTGGAGCTCTTTGCAGCCTATGGTGGAAAAGGAAATGTCCTCACATAAAAACTAGACAGAAGCATTCTGACAAACTCCTTTGTGATGTGTGAATTCATCTCACAGAGTTGTAACTTTCTTTTGATTGAACAGTTTTGAAACAATAGTTTTGTAGAATCTGCAATTGGACATTTGGAGTGCTTTGCAGCCTGTGGTGGAAAACGAAATATCTTCACATAAAAACTAGACAGAAGAATTCTGAGAAACTTCTTCGTGATGTATGCATTCATCTCACAGAGTTGAACATAACTTTCAATTGAGCAGTTTTGAAACACTCTTTTTATAGGAGCAGCAAGTGGACATTTGGAGGTCTTTGAGGCCTATGTTGGAAAACGAAATATCTTCTCATTATAACTAGACAGAAGCATTCTGAGAAACTTCTTTGTGATGTGTGCATTCATCACACAGAGTTGAACCTCTCCTTAGATTGAGCAGCTTTGAAACACTCTTTTTGTAGAATCTGCAAGTGGACATTTGGAACAATTTGAGGCCCATGGTGGAAAAGGAATTATCTTCACATAAAAACTATACAGAAACATTCTCACAAGCTTCTTTGTGATGTGTGCATTCAACTCACAGAGTTGAACCTTTCTTTTGACCGAGCAGTTTTGAAACACTCTTTTTGTAGAATCCGCAAGTGGACATTTGGTGCGCTTTGAGACATATGGTGGAGAAGGAAATATCTTCACTTAACAACTAGGTGGAAGCATTCTGAGAAACTTCTTTGTGTTGTGTGCATTTATCTTACAGAGTTGAACCATACTTTTGATTGAGCAGCTTTGAAAAACTCTTTTTTAGACTCTGCAAGTGAACATTTTGAGCTCTTTGTGTCCTATGGTGGAAAAGGAAATATCTTCACATAAAAACTAGACAGAAGCATTCTGTGAAACTTCCTTGTGATGTGTGCATTCATCTCACAGAGTTGAACATTTCTTTTCATTGAGCAGTTTTGAAACACTCTTTTTGTAGAATCTGCAATGGACATTTGGAGGGCTTTCCTGTGGTGGAAAAGGAAGTAACTTCCCATAAAAACTAGACAGAATCTTTCTTAGAAAATTCTTTCTGATGTGTGCATTCATCTCACGTAGTTGAACATTTCTTTTGATTAAGCAGCTTTGAAACACTCTTTTTGTAGAATCTGTAAGTGGACATTTGGAGTACTTTGAGGGTGATGGTCAATAACGAAATATCTTCACTTAATAACTAGACAGAAGCATTCTGTGAAACTACTTTGTGATGTGTGCATTCATCTCACAAGTTGAACATTTCTTTTGATTGAGTGGCTTTGAGACACTCTTTTTGTAGAACCTGCAAGTGGATATTTGGGGCCCTTTGAAACCTATGGTGGAAAAGGAAATATCTTCACATAAAAACTATATAGAAACATTCTGACAAATTTCTTTGTGATGGGTGTATTCATGTCACAGAATTGAACCTTCCGTTTAATTGAACAGTTTTGAAACACTCTTTTTGTAGAATTGGCAAGTGGATATTTGGAGAGCTTTGAGGCCTATGGTGGAAAAGGAAATATCTTTACATAAAAACTAGACAGAAGCATTCTGAGAAACTTGTTTGTGATCTGTGCATTCATCTCACAGAGTTGAACCTTTCTTTTGATTCAGAAGTTTGGAAACAGTCTTTTTGTAGATTCTGCAAGTGAACATTTGGAGCTCTTTGAGGTCTATGGTCGAAAAGGATATATCTTCACACAAAAACTAGACAGAAGCATTCTGTCAAAATACTTTGTGATATTTGCATTCATATCCCGGAGTTGAACCTTACTTTTGATTGAGCATTTTTGAAACACCCTTTTTATACTATCTGCAAGTGGACATTTGGAGTGCTTTGAGGCCTATGGTGGAAAAGGAAATATCTTCACATAAAAACTAGACAGAAGCATTCTGACAACTTTCTTTGTGATGTGTGCATTCATCTCACAGAGCTGAACCTTTATTTTGATTGAGTAGTTTGGAAACTCTCTTTTTGCTGAATCTGTAAGTGGATATTTGGAGCTCTTTGAGGCCTATATTGGAAAAAGAAATATCTTCATATAATAACTAGACAGAAGCATTCTGAGAAACTTCTTTGTGATGTGTGCATTCGTCTCACACAGTTGAACCTTTCTTTTGATTGAGCAGTATTGAAACACTCTTTTTGAAGAATCTGCAAGTGGACATTTGGAGCGCTTTGAGATCTATTTTGGAAAAGGAAATATCTTCACATAAAAACTAGACAGAAGCATTCTGTCAAACTTCTTTGTGATATGTGCATTCATCCCAAGGAGTTGAACCTTACTTTTGATTGAACAATTTTAAAACAACCTTTTTGTACTATCAGCAAGTGGACATTTGGAGTGCTTTCAGGCCTATGGTGTAAAAGGAAATATCTTCAAGTAAAAACTAGACAGAAGCATTCTGACAAATTTCTTTGTGATGTGTGCATTCATCTCACAGAGCTGAACCTTTCTTTTGATTGAGTAATTTGGAAACTCTCTTTTTGTTGATCTGCAAGTGGACATTTGGAGTGCTTTGAGGCCTGTGGTGAAAAGGAAATATCTTCACATAAAAACTAGACAGAAGCTTTCTGAGCAACTTCTTTGTGATGTGTGCATTCATCTCACAGAGTTGAACATTTCTTTGTATTGAGCAGATTTGAATCACACTTTTTGTAGAATCTGCAAGTGGACATTTGGAGAGCTTTGTGTCCTATGGTGTAAAAGGAAATATCTTCCCATAAAAACTAGATATAATCATCCTGAGAAAATTCTTTGTGAGGTATGTATTCATCACAGAGAGTTGATCCTTTGTTTTCATTGAGCAGTTTTGAAACACTCTTTTTGTAGAATCTGCAAGTGGACATTTGGAGCTCTTTGAGGCCTATGGTGGAAAAGGAAACATCTTCACATAAGCACTAGACAGAAGCATTCTGAGAAACATCTTTGTGATGTGTGCATTCATCTCACAGAGTTGAACATTTCTTTTGATTGAGCAGTTTGGAAACACTCTTTTTGTAGAATCTGTAAGGGGACATGTGGAGCTCTTTGAGGCCTGAGGTGGAAAAGGATATATCTTCACAAAAAAACTAGGTAGAAGCATTCTGACAAACCTATTTGCGACATGTGCATTCAACTCACAGAGTTGAACCTTACTTTTGATTAAACAGTTTTGAAAAACCCTTTTGGTACTATCTGCAAGTGGACATTTTGTGTGGTTTGAGGCCTATGGTGGAAAAGGAAATATGTTCATATAAAAATTAGACAGAAGCATTCTGACAAATTACTTTTTGATGTATGCATTCATCTCACAGAGTTGATCGTTTCTTTTGAGTGAGTAGTTTGGAAGCTCTCCTTTTGTAGCATCTGCAAGTGGACATTTTGAGCACTTTGGGGCCTATGGTGGAAAAGGAAATATCTTCACATAAATGTTATACAGAAGCATTCTGACAAATTCTTTGTGATGTGTGCATTCATCTCAGAGAGTTGAATCTTTCCTTCGATTGTCTAGTTTTCAAACACTCTTTCTGTAACATGTGCAAGTGGACATTTGGAGTGATTTGAGGCCTAAGGTGAAAAATGAAATATCTTCACATAATAACTAGACAGAAGCATTCTGAGAAAGTTGTTTGTGATCTGTGCATTAATCTCACAGAGTTGAACATTTCTTTTGATTGAGCAGCTTTGAAACACTCTTTTTGTAGAATCTGCAAGTGGACATTTAGAGCACTTTGAGGCCTATAGTGGAAAAGGAAATATCTTCATAGAGAAGCTAGACAGAAATATTCTGAGAAATTTCTTTGTGATGTGGGCATTCATCTCACAGAGTTGAACTTTCTTTTGATTGAGCAGTTTTGAGACACTTTTTTTGTAGAATCTGCAAGTGGATATTTGGAGCACTTTGCGGCATATGGTGGAAAAGGAAATATCTTCACTTAAATACTAGACAGAAGAATTCTGACAAACTTCTTTGTGATGTGTGCATTCATCTCAGGGAATTGAACCTTACTTTTGATTGAGAAGTCTTGAAGCCCACTTTTTGTAGAATCTGCAAGTTGATATTTGGAGCACTTTTAGGCCTTAAGTGGAAAAGGAAATATCTTCACATAAGAACTAGACAGAAGCATTCTGAGAAACTTCTTTGTGATGTTTTCGTTCAACCCACAGAGTTGAATCTTACTTTTGATTGAGCAGTTTGGAAACACTCTTTTTGTAGAATTTGCAAGCGGACATTTTGTTCACTTTGAGGCCTATGGTGGAAAAGGAAATATCTTCACTTAAGATCTAGACAGAAGCATTATGAGAAACTTCTTTGTGATGTGTGCAGTCATCTCACAGAGTTGAACATTTCTTCTGATTGAGCACCTTTGAAACATTATTTTTGTAGAATCTGCATGTGGACCTTTGGAGCGCCTTGAGGCCTATGGTAGAAAAGGAAATATCTTCACATAAAAACTATACAGAAGCATGCTGACAAACTACTTTGTGTTGTTTGCATTCATCTCACAGAATTGAACCTTTCTTTCCATTGAGCAGTTTTGAAACACTGTTTTTGTACAATCTGCAAGTGGACATTTGGAGCGCTTTGAGGCTTAGGGTGGGAAAGGAAATATCTTCACTTAAGAACTAGACAGAACATTCTGAGAAACTTCTTTGTGATGTGTGCATTCATCTCACAGAGTTGAACCTTTCTTTTGATTGAGCAGTTTTGAAACACTCTTTTTGTAGAATCTGCAAGTGGACATTTGGAGCACTTTGCAGCCAATTGTGGAAAAGGAAATATCTTCACATAACAACAAGACAGCAGCATTCTCAGAAACTTCTTTGTGATGTGTGCATTCATCTCACAGAGTTGAAACATTCTTTTGATAGAGCAGCTTGGAAACACTCTTTTTGTAGAATCTGCAAGTGGACATCAGGAGCGCTTTGAGGCCTATGGCGGAAAAGGAAATATCTTCACATAAAAACTATAAAGAAGCATTGTCACAAACTTCTTTGGGATGTGTGCTTTCATGTCACAGAGTTGAACATTTCTTTTCATTAATCTATTTTGAAATACTCTTTTGGTAGGATCTGCAAGTGGACATTTGGAATTCTTTGAGGCCTACGGTGGAAAAGGAAATATCTTCACAGAAAAACTACACAGAAGTATTCTGGGAAATTTCTTTGGGATGTGTGCATGCATCTCACAGAGTTGAACTTTCTTTTGATTGAGCAGTTTGAAACACTCTTTTTGTAGAATCTGCAAAGGGACATTTGGAGTACTTTGCGGCATATGGTGGTAAAGGATATATCTTCACATAAAAACTAGACAGAAGCACGCTGACAAACTTCTTTGTGTTGTTTGCATTCATATCACAGAATTGAACCTTTCTTTCCATTGAGCAGTTTTGAAACACTGTTTTTGTACAATCTGCAAGTGGACATTTGGAGCACTTTGAGGCCTATGGTTGAAAAGGAAATATCTTCACTTAAGAACTAGACAGAACATTCTGAGAAACTTCTTGTGATGTGTGCATTCATCTCACAGAGTTGAATATTTCTTTTCAATGAGCAGTTTTGAAGCACTCTTTTTGTAGAATCTACAAGTGGACACTTGGTGCGCTTTGATGCCTATGGTGGAAAAGCAAATATCTTCTCATAAAACATGGACAGAAACATTCTGAGAAACTTCTTCATGATGTGTATATTCATCTCAAAGGTTTGAACATTTCTTTTGATTGAACAGTTTTGAAACACTCTTTTTGTACTATCTGCAAGTGGACCTTTGGAGGGCTCTGAGGCCTCTGGTGGAAAAGGAAATATCTTCACTTAAGAATTGCAAAGAATCATTCTGAGAAAATACTTTGTGATGTGTGTATTCATCTGACAGAGTTGAACCTTACTGTTGATTGAGCAAATTTGAAACATCCTTTTTGTACTATCTACAAGTGGACGTTTGGAGTGCGTTGATGCCTATGGTGTAAAAGTATATATCTTTACATAAAAACTAGACAGAAGGATTCTCGGAAATGTCTTTTTTATGTGTGCATTCATCTCACAGAGTTGAAACTTTCTTTTGATTGACTAGTTTGGAAAATCTTTCTGAAGGATCTGCAAGTGGACATTTGGATCACTTTGAGGCCTATGGTGGAAAAGGAAATATCTTCACATAAGAAGTAGACAGAAACATTCTGAGAAACTTCTTTGTGATGTGTGCATTCTTCTCACAGAGTTGAACCTTTCTTTTGATTGGGCAGTTTTGAAACACTCTTTTTGTAGAGTATGCAAGTGGACATTTGGAGAGCCTTGCGGCATACGGTGGAAAAGAAATATCTTCACATAAAAACTAGACTGAAGCATTCTGACAAACTTCTTTGTGACGTGTGCATTCGTCTCGCAGAGATGAACCTTTCTTTTGATTGAGCAGCTTTGAAACACTTTTTTTGTAGAATCTGCAAGTGGACATTTGGAGCGCTTTGAGGAGTGTAATGGAAAATGAAATATCTTCATGTAATAACTACGCAGAAGTATTCTGAGAAACTTCTTTGTGATGAGTGCATTCATCTCACAAAGTTGAAACTTTCTTTTGATTTTCTAGTTTGGAAACACTCTTTGTAGAATCTGCAAGTGGACATTTGGAGTGCATTGAGGCCAATGGCAGATAAGGAAATATCTTCACATAAAAACTAGACAGAAGCATTCTGATAAACTTCTTTGTGATATGTGCATTCACCTCACAGTGTTGAACCTTACTTTTAATTGAGCAGTTTTGAAACTCCCTTTTTGTACTATCTGCAAGTGGACATTTGGAGTGCTTTGAGGCCTATGGTGGAAATGGAGATATCTTCAAATAAAAACTAGAGAGAAGCATTCTGACAAATTACTTTGTGATGTGTGCATTCGTCTCACAGAGATGAACCTTTCTTTTGATTGAGCAGCTTTGAAACTTTTTTTTGTAGAATCTGCAAGTGGACATTTTGAGCGCTTTGAGGAGTGTGATGGAAAATGAAAGATCTTCATGTATTAACTATGCAGAAGTATTCTGAGAAACTTCTTTGTGACGAGTGCATTCATCTCACAGAGTTGAAACTTTCTTTTGATTTTCTAGTTTGGAAACACTCTTTTTGTAGAAGCTCCAAGTGGACATTTGGAGCGCTTTGTGGCCTATGGTAAAAAAGGAAATACCTTCACATAAAAACTAGACAAAAGCATTCTAACAAACTTCGTTGTGATTTGTGCATTCATCTCACAGAGTTGAACTTTACTTTTGATTGAGCTGTTTTGAAACACCCTTTTTCTACTGTCTGCAAGTGGACATTTGGAGTGCTTTGAGGCCTATGGTGGAAAAGGAAATATCTTCACATAAAAACTAGACAGAAGCATTCTGACAAATTTCTTTGTGATGTGTGCATTCATCTCACAGAGTTGAACCTTTCTTTTGATTGGTTAGTTTGCAAAATCACTTTTTGTAGATTCTGCAAGTGGACATTTGGAGCGCTTTGAGGCCTATGATGGAAAAGGTAATATCTTCACTTAATAACTAGACAGAAGCATTCTGAGAAACTTCTTCGTGATGTGTGCGTTCACCTCACAGATTTGAAATTTTCTTTTGATTGAACTGATTTGAAACAATCTTTTTGTCGAATCTGCAAGTGTACATTTGGAGCACTTTGCGGCCTCTGGTGGAAAAGGAACTATCTTCACATAAAAACTAGACAGAAGCATTCTGACAAACTTCTTTGTGATGTGTGCATTCTTCTCAGAGAGTTGAACCTTACTTTCGATTGACCAGTTTTGAAACACCGTTTTTTTTTCTGCTTTTTTTTTTTGGCTGTCTCTTTTTTTTTATTATTGTTATTATTATACTTTAAGTTTTAGGCTACATGTGCACAATGTGCAGGTTCGTCACATATGTATCCATGTGCCGTCTTGGTGTGCTGCACCCATTAACTCGCCATTTAGCGTTAGGTATATGTCATAATTCTGTCCCTTCCCCCTCCCCCCACCCCACAACATTCCCCGGAGTGTGATGTTTCACTTCCTTTGTCCATGTGTTCTCATTGTTCAATTCCCACCTATGAGTGAGAACACGTGTTTGGTTTTTTGTCCTTTTGTATTCCCTTTGAAAACTGGCAAAAGACAGGGATGCCCACTCTCACCACTCCTATTCAACATAGTATTGGAAGTTCTGGCCAGGGCAATCAGGTAGGAGAAGTGAATAAAGGGCATTCAATTAGGAAAAGAGGAAGTCAAATTGTCCCTGTTTGCAGATGACATGATTTTATAACTAGAAAACCCCATTGTCTCAGCCGGAAATCTGCTTAAGCTGATAAGCAACTTCAGCAAAGTCTCAGGATACAAAATCAATGTACAAAAATCGCAAGCATTCTTGTACATAATAGCAGACACACAGAGAGCCAAATCATGAGTGAACTCCCATTCACAATTGCTTCAAAGAGAATAAAATAAATAGGAATCCAACTTACAAGGGACGTGAAGGGCCTCTTCAAGGAGAACTACAAACCACTGCTCAAGGAAATAAAAGAGGATACAAACAAGTGGAAGAACATTCCATACTCATGGGTTGGAAGAATCAATATCGTGAAAATGGCCATACTGCCTAAGGTAATTTATAGATTCAATGCCATCCCCATCAAGTTACCAATGACTTTCCTCAGAGAATTGGAAAAAAACGACTTTAAAGTTCATATGGAACCAAAAAAGAGCCTGCATTGCCAAGTCAATCCCTAGCCAAAAGAACAAAGCTGGAGGCATCACACTACCTGACTTCAAACTATACTACAAGGCTACAGTAACCAAAACAACATTGTTCTGGTACCAAAACAGAGACATAGATCAATGAAACAGAACAGAGACTTCAGGAATAATGCCGCATATCTACAAACTATCAGATCTTTGACAAACCTGACAAAAACAAGCAATGGGAAAAGGATTCCCTATTCAATAAATGGTGCTGGGAAAACTGGCTAGCCATATGTAGAAAACTGAAACTGGAAACATTCTTGTTGTAGAATCTGCAAGTGGACATTTGGAGGGATTTGAGACTTATTGTGGAAAAGGAAATATCTTTACATAAAAGCTAGAGAGAAGCATTCTGACAGACATCTTTGTGATGTGTGCCTTCATCTCACAGAGTTGAACCTTTCTTTTGATTGGGCAGTTTGGAAACACTCTTTTTGTGGAATCTGCAAGTGGACATTTGGAGTGCTTTGTGGTCAATGGTGGAAAAGGAAATATCTTCACATAAAAACTAGACAGAAGCAATCTGAGAAACTTCTTTTTGATGTCTGCATACATCTCACAGAGTTAAACATTTCTTGTGATGGAGCACTTTTGAAACTCTCTTTTTGTAGAATTGGCAACTGGACATTTTGAGCTCTTTGAGGCCTATGGTGGAAAAGGAAACATCTTCACATAAAAACTAGAAGGAAGAATTCTGAGAAATGTCTTTGTGATGTGTGAGTTCATATCACAGAGTAAAACCTTTCTTTTGATTGAGCAGTTTGGAAACACTCTTTTTGTAGAATCTGCAAGTGGACATTTGGAGAACTTTGCGGCCTATAGTGGAAAAGGAAATATCTTCACATAAAAACTAGACAGAAGAATTCTGAGAAACTTCTTTGTGATGTGTGCATTCATCTCATAGTGTTGAGCATTTCTTCTGATTGAACAGCTTTGAAAAACTCTTTTTGTAGACTCTGCATGTGGACATTTGGAGTGCTTTGAGGCCTATAGTGGAAAAGGAAATATCTTCATATAAAAACTAGACAGAAACATTCTGACAAACTTCTTAGTGATGTGTGCATTCATCTCATAGAGTTGAACCTTTCTTTTCATTGAGCAGTTTTGAAAAACTCTTTTTGTGGAATGTGCAATTGTACATTTGAAGCGATTTGAGGCCTATGGTTGAAAAGGAAATATGTTCACATAAAAACTAGACAGAAGCTTTCTGACCAATCACTTTGTGATGTGTGCATTTATCTAACAGAGTTGAACCTTTCTTTTGATTGAGTAGTTTGGAAATTCTCTTTTTGTAGAATCTGCAAGAGCACATTAGGAGTCCTTTGGGGCCTAAGGTGGAAAAGGTAATATCTTCACTTAAGAAGTAGACAGAAGCATTCTGAGTAACTTCTTTGTGATGTGTGCATTCATCTCACAGAGTTGAACCTTTCCTTTGACTGAGTAGTTTAGAAACTCTCTTTTTGTAGATTCTGCAAGTGGACATTTGGAGCGCATTGAGGCCTATGGTGGAAAAGGAAATATCTTCATTTAAGAAGTAGACGGAAGCTTTCTGAGAAAATTCTATGTGATATATGCATTCATCTCACAGAGTTTCAACTTTCTTTTGGTTGAGCAACTTTGAAACACTCTTTTTATAGTATCTGCAAGTGGACATTTTTGGCGCTTTGAGGCAATGGTGGAAAAGGAAATATCTTCACATAAAAACCATACAGAAACATTCTGAAAAACTTCACTGAGATGTGTGGATTCATCTCACAGAGTTGAACCTTTCTTTTGATTGAACAGTTTTGAAAGACTCTTTTTGTAGAATCTGAATTTGGACATTTGGTGCGCTTTGCGGCCTATGGTAGAAAAGGAAATATCTTCACATAAAAACTAAACAGAAGCGTTCTGACAAACTTCTTTGTGATTTGTGCATTCGTCTCACAGAGTTGAACCTTTCTTTTGAGTGGCTTTGAAACACTCTTTTTGTAGAATCTGCATGTGGACATTTGGAGCTCTTTGAGGCCTATGGTGGAAAAGGAAATACCTTTACATAAAAACTATACAGAAACATTCTGATAAACTTCTTTGTTATGTGTGCATTGTTCTCACAGATTTGAACCTTTCTATTCATTGAGCAGTTTTGAAAAACTCTTTTTGTGGAATCTGCAAGTATACATTTGAAGCTCTTTGAAGCCTATGGCTTAAAAGGAAATATGTTCACATAAAAACTAGACAGAATCATTCAGAGAAAATCCTTTGTGTTGTGTGCATTCATCTCACCGGGTTGAATATTTCTTTTGATTAAGCAGGTTTAAACACTCTTTTTGTAGAATCTGCAAGTGGACTTTGGGAGCCCTTTGAGTCCTGTGGTGGAATAGGAAATATCTTCATTTAAGAACTAGACAGAAGCATTCTGAGAAATTGCTTTGTGATGTGTGCGTTCATCTCACAGAGTTGAAACTTTCTTTTCATTGAGCAGTTTTGAAACAATCTTTTTGTAGAATCTGCAAGTAGACATTTGGAGCGCTTTGCGGCCTATGGTGGAAAAGGAAACATCTATACATGAAAACTAGACAGAAGCATTCTGACAAACTTCTTTGTGATGTGTGCTTTCATATCCCAGAGTTGAACATTTCTTTTGCTTGAGCAGTTTGGAAACACTCTTTTTATAGAACCTGCATGTGGACATTTGGAGCGCTTTGAGGCCTACGGTGGAAAAGGAAACATCTTCGTATGAAAACTGGACAGAAGCATTCAGACAGACTTTTTTGTGATGTGAGAACTCACCTCACAGAGTTGAACCCTACCTTCGATTGAGCAATTTTGAAACACTCTTTTTTTAGGATTTGCAATTGGACATTTGGAGCGCTTTGAGGACTATGGTGGAAAAGGAAATATCTGCACATAAACACTAGACAATCATTCTGAGAATATTCTTTGTGATGTGTGCATTCATCTCACAGAGGTGAACCTTTCTTTTGATTGAGCAGTTTTGAAACACTATTTTTGTGGGATCTGTAAGTGGACATTTGGAGTGTTTTGACGCCTATGCTGGAAAAGGAAATATCTTCACATAAAAACTGGACAGAAGCATTCTGAGAAATTCTTTGTGATGTGAGCATTCATCTCACAGAGTTGAAGCTTTCTTTTGATTGAGCAGCTTTGAAACACTCTTTTTGTAGAATCTGCATGTGGAAATTTGGAGCGTTTTGAGGCCTATTGTTGAAAAGGTAATATCTTCACATAATAACTAGACACAAGCATTCTGAGAAACTTCTTTGTGATATGTGCATTTATCTCACAGCGTTGAAATTTTCTTTTGATAGAGTGGTTTGGAAACTCTTTTTGTAGAATCTGCAAGTGGACATTTGGAGAGCTTTGAGTCCTGTGGTGGAAAAGGAAATATCTACACTTAAGAACCTGACAGAAGAATTCTGAGAAACTTCTTTGTGAAATGTGCATCCATCTCACAGAGTTGAACCTTTCTTTTGATTGAGCAGTTTTGAAACACTCTTTCTGTAGGATCTGCAAGTGGACATTTGCAGCCCTTTGGGGCCTATGGTGGAAAAGGAAATATCTTCATATAAAGACTAGACAAAAGCATTCTGGCAAATTTCTTTGTGATGTGTGCATTCATCTCACTGAGGTGAACCTTTCTTTTGATTGAGTAGTTTGGAAACTCTCTTATTGTGGAATCCGGAAGTGGACATTTGGGGTGCTTTGGGACCAGTGGTGGAAAAGGAAACATCTTCACTTAAGAACTAGACGGAAGCATTCTCAGAAACTTCTTTGTAATGTGTGCACTCATCTCACAGATTTGAACCTTTCTTTTGATTGAGCTGTTTTGAAACACTCTTTTTGTAGCGTCCAGAATTGGACATTTGGAGTGCTTAGAGTCCTATGGAGGAAAAGGAAATATCTTCACATAAAAACTAGAGAGAAGCGTTTTGAGAAACTCTTTGTGATGTGTGCATGCATTCATCTCACAGATTTGAACCTTTCTTTTGATTCAGCAGCTTCGAAACACTCTTTTTGTAGTATCTAGAATTGGACATTTGGAGCGCTTAGAGTTCTTTGGTGGAAAAGAAAATATATTCACATAAAAACTAGACAGAATCATTCAGAGAAAATTCTTTGTGATGTGTGCATTCATGTCACAGAGTTGAACCTTTATTTCATTGAGCAGTTTTTATTTATTTATTTCATTATTATTATTATACTTTAAGTTTTAGGGTACATGCGCACAATGTGCAGGTTAGTTACATATGTACACATATGCCATGCTGGTGGAGTGCACCCACTAACTCGTCATCTAGCATTAGGTATATCTCCCAATGCTATCCCTCCCCCCTCCCCCCACCCCACAACAGTCCCGAGAGTGTGATGTTCCCCTTCCTGTGTCCATGTGTTCCATTGTTCAATTCCCACCTATGAGTGAGAATATGCGGTGTTTGGTTTTTTGTTCTTGCGATAGTTTACTGAGAATGATGATTTCCAGTTTCATCCATGTCCCTACAAAGGACATGAACTCATCATTTTTATGGATGCATAGTATTCCATGGTGTATATGTGCCACATTTTCTTAATCCAGTCTATCATTGTTGGACATTTGGTTTGGTTCCAAGTCTTTGCTATTGTGAATAATGCCACAATAAACATACATGTGCATGTGTCTTTATAGCAGCATGATTTATAGTCCTTTGGGTATATACCCAGTAATGGGATGGCTGGGTCAAATGGTATTTCTAGTTCCAGATCCCTGAGGAATCGCCACGCTGACTTCCACTATGGTTGGACTACTTTACAGTCCCACCAACAGTGTAAAAGTGTTCCTATTTCTCCACACCCTCTCCAGCACCTGTTGTTTCCGGACTTTTTAATGATTGCTATTCTAACTGGTGTGAGATGGTTTCTCATTGTGGTTTTGATTTGCATTTCTCTGATGGCCAGTGATGGTGAACATTTTTTCATGTGTTTTTTGGCTGCATAAATGTCTTCTTTTGAGAAATGTCTGTTCATGTCCTTCAAAATCAATGTATAAAAATCACAAGCATTCTTATACACCAACAAAAGACAAACAGAGAGCCAAATCATGAGTGAACTCCCATTCACAATTGCTTCAAAGAGAATAAAATACCTAGGAATCCAACTTACAAGGGATGTGAAGGACCTCTTCAAGGAGAACTACAAACCACTGCTCAAGGAAATAAAAGAGGATACAAACTAATGGAAGAACATTCCATGCTCATGGGTTGGAAGAATCAATATCATGAAAATGGCCATACTGCCCAAGGTAATTTACAGATTCAATGCCATCCCCATCAAGCTACCAATGACTTTCTTCACAGAATTGGAAAAAACTACTTTAAAGTTCATATGGAACCAAAAAAGAGCCTGCAGCACCAAGTCAATCCTAAGCCAAAAGAACAACGCTGGAGGCATCACACTACCTGACTTCAAACTATACTACAAGGCTACAGTAACCAAAACAGCATGGTACTGGTACCAAAACACAGATATAGATCAATGGAACAGAACAGAGCCCTCAGAAATAATGCCACATATCTACAACTATCTGATCTTTGACAAGCCTGAGAAAAACAAGCAATGGGGAAAGGATTCCCTATTTAATAAATGGTGCTGGGAAAACTGGCTAGCCATATGTAGATAGCTGAAACTGGATCCCTTCCTTACACCTTACACAAAAATCAATTCAAGATGGATTAAAGACTTAAATGCTCTACCTAAAACCATAAAAACCCTAGAAGAAAACCTAGGCATTACCATTCAGAACATAGGCATGGGCAAGGACTTCATGTCTAAAACACCAAAAGCAATGGCAACAAAAGCCAACATTGACAAATGGGATCTAATTAAACTAAAGAGCTTCTGCCCAGCAAAAGAAACTACCATCAGAGTGAACAGGCAACCTACAAAATGGGAGAAAATTTCACAAGCTACTCATCTGACACAGGGCTAATATCCAGAATCTACAATGAACTCAAACAAATTTACAAGAAAAAAACAAACAACCCCATCAAAAAATGGGCGAAGGACATGAAGAGACATTGAGCAGTTTTGAAAAACTCTTTTTGCAATATCTGCAGGTGGACATTTGGAGCGCTTTTTGGCCTATGGTGGAAAAGGAAATATCTTCATTTAAGAACTAGATGGAAGCATTCTGTGAAGCTGATTTGTGATGTGTGCATTCCTCTCACAGAGCTGAAACTTTATTTTAATTGAGCAGTTTTGAAAACTCTCATTTTGTAGAATCTGCAAGTGGACATTTGGCGCGCTTTGCGGCCTATGGTTGAAAAGGAAATATCTTCACATTAAAACTAGGCAGAAGCATTCTGACAAGCTTATTTGTCATTTATCTCATGGAGTTGCCATTTGTCTCACGGAGTTGAACTTAACTTTCGATAGAGCAGTTTTGAAACACTCTTTTTGTAGAATCTGCAAGTGCACATCTGGAGAGCTTTGAGGCCTGTGGAGGAAAAGGAAATATCTTCACACAAAACTAGACAGAAGCATTCTGACAAAGTTTTTGTGATGTGTGCATTCATCTCGCAGAGTGGAACCTTAATTTTGATTGAGCGGTTTTGAAACACTCCTTTTGTAGAATCTGCAAGTGGACATTTGGAGCGCTTTGATGCCTACGGTGGAAAACGAAATATCTTCACATAATAACTAGACAGAAGGATTCTGAGAAACTTCTATGTGATGTGTGCATTCATCTCATAGAGTTGAAACTTTCTTTTGATTGAGCCACTTTGAAACACTCTTTCTGTAGTATCTGCAAGGGGACATTTTTGGCGCTTTGAGGCAATGGTGGAAAACGTAGTATCTTCACATAAAAACTAGACAGAAGAATTCTGAGAAACTTCTTTGAGAAGTGTGCCTTCATGTTACAGATTTGAACCTTTCTTTCGATTGAGCAGTTTGGAAACACACTTTATGAATAATCTTCAGTTGGACAATTGGAGCACTTAGTGGCCTATGGTAGAAAAGGAAATATGTTCACATAAAATATAGACAGAAGAAATCGGACAGGAGCAACTTTGAAACACTCTTTCTGTAGTATCTGCAAGTGGACATTCTTGGCGCTTTGAGACAATGGTGGAAAAAGAAATATCTTCACACAAGAACTATACAGAAACATTCGAAAAACTTCAATGAGATGTGTGGATTCATCTCACAGAGATGGACCTTTCTTTTGATTGAGCGGTTTGAAAGACTCTATTTGTAGAATCTGAATTTGGACATTTGGTGCGCTTTGCGGCCCATGGTGGAAAAGGAAATATCTTCACATAAAAACTAGACAGAAGCATTCTGACAAACTTCTTTGTGACTTGCGCATTCATGTCACAGAGTTGAACCTTTCTTTTGATTGAGCAGCTTTGAAACACTCTTTTTGTAGAATCTGCATGTGGACATTTGGAGCTCTTCGAGGCCTATGGTGGAAAAGCAAATACCTTAACATAAAAACTATACAGAAACATTCTGACAAATTTCTTTGTTATGTGTACATTCTTCACACAGATTTGAACCTTTCTTTTCATTGAGCAGTTTCGAAAAACTCTTTTTGTGGAATCTGCAAGTGTATATTTGAAGCACTTTGAGGCCTATGGTTTAAAAGGAAATATGTCCACATAAAAACTAGACAAAATCATTCAGAGAAGATCCTTTGTGTTGTGTGTATTCATCTCACCGGGTTGAACATTTCTTTTGATTGAGCAGATTTAAACACTATTTTTGTAGAATCTGCAAGTGGACATTGGGAGCCCTTTGAGTCCTATGGTGGAAGAGGAAATATCTTCATTTAAGAACTAGACAGAAGCATTTTGAGAAACTTCTTTGTGATGTGTGCATTCATCTCACAGAGTTAAACATTTCTTTTGATTGAGCTGCCTTGAAACTATTTTGTAGAATCTGCAAGTGGACATTTGGAGCGCTTTGAGGCCTATGGTAGAAAAGGAAATATCTTCACATAAAATCTAGACAAAAGCAATCTGAGAAACTTCTTTGTGATGTGTGCATTCATCTCACAGAGTTAAAACTTTTTTTTGATTGAGCAGTTTTGAAACTCTCTTTTTGTAGACTCTGCAAGTGGACATTTGGAGCTCTTTTAGGTCTATGGTGGAAATAGAAATATCTTCACATAAAACCTACACAGAAGCAATCTGAGAAACTTCTTTGTGATGTGTGCGTTCATCTCACAGAGTTGAACCTTTCTTTTGATTGAGCAGTTTGAAAACACTTTTTTTTGTAGAATCTGCAAGTGGACGTTTGTTCCATTTTGTGACCTATGGTAGAAAATGATATATCTTCACATAAAATCTCGACAGAAGCAATCTGAGAAACTTCCTTCTGATGTGTGCATTCATCTCACAAAGTTAAACTTTTCTTTTGCTTGAGAAGTTTTGAAGCTATCTTTTTGTAGAATCTGCAAATGGACATTTGGAGAGCTTTGAGGCATATGGTGGAAAAGTAAATATCTTCACATTAAAAGTAGACAGAAGGATTCTGACAAACTTCTTTGAGATGCGTGCATTCATCTCTCAGAGTTGAACCTTTCTTTTGATTGAGCAGTTTGGAAGCACTCTTTTTGTAGAATCTGTAAATAGACATTTGCAGTGCTTTGCAGCCTATGGTAGAGAAGGAAATATCTTCACATAAAATATAGACAGAAGCAATCTGAGAAACTTCTTTGTGATGTGTGCTTTCATCTTACAGAGTTAAACATTTCTTTTGACTGAGGAGTTTTGAAACTCTCTTTTAGTAGAATCTGCAAGTGGACATTTGGAGCACTTTTAGGCCTGTGGTGGAAAAGAAAATATCTTCACATAAAAACTAGACAGAAGAATTCTGATAAACTTCTTTGTGATGCATGAGTTCATCTGACAGAGTTGAACCTTTCTTTTGATTGAGGAGTTTGGAAACACTCTTTTTGTAGAATCTGGAAGTGGACATTTGGAGCACTTTGAGGCCTATGGTGGAAAAGGAAATATCTTCACATAAAATCTAACAGAAGCAATCTGAGAAACTTCATTGTGATGTGAGCATTCATCTCACAGAGTTGAACCATTCCTTTCATTGAGCATTTTTGAAACTCTCTTTTTGTAAAATGTGCAAGTGGAATTTTGGAGAGCTTTGAGGCCTATGGTGGAAAGGAAATATCTTCACATAAAAACTAGACAGAAGAATTCTGAGAAAGGTTTTGTGATGTGTGCTTTCAGCTCATAGAGTTGAACTTTTCTTATGATTGAGCAGTTTTGAAACACTCTTTTTGTAGAATCTGCAGGTGGATATTTGGTGTCCTTTGCCGCTTGTTGTATAAAAGGAAATATCTTCACATAAAATCTAGACAGAAACAGTCTCAGAAACTTGTTTGTGATTTGCGCATTCATCTCACAGAGTTAACCCTTTATTTTGATTGAGCAGTTTTGAGACTCTCTTTTTGTAGAATCTGAAAGTGGACTTTGGAGCGCTTTGAAGCCTATGGTGGAAAAGGAGATATCTTCACATAAAAACTAGACAGAAGAATTCTGACAAACTTCTTTGAGATGCGTGCGTTCATGTCACAGAGTTGAACATTTCTTTTGATTGAGCAGTTTCGAAACACTGTTTTTGTAGTATCTGCAAATGGACATTTGGTGCGCTTGGTGGCCTATGGTAGAAAATGAAATATCTTCACATAAAATCTAGACAGAAGAAATCTGAGAAACTTCTTTGTGATGTGTGCATTCATCTCACAGAGTTAAACCTTTCTTTTGATTCAGCAGTTTTGAAACTCTCTTTTTGTAGAACCTGCAAGTGGACATTTGGAGCACTTTGAGGCCTATGGTGGAAAAGGAAATATCTTCACATAAAAACTAGACAGAAGAATTCTGACAAACTACTTTGAGATGTGTGCGTTCATCTTACAGAGTTGAATCTTTCTTTTGATTGAGCAGTTTGTAAACACTCTTTTTGTAGAATCTGCTAGTGGACATTTTGTGCACTTTGTGGCCTATGGTAGAAAATGAAATATCTTCACATAAAATCTAGACAGAAGCAATCTGAGAAACTTCTTCGTGATGTGTGAACTCATCTCACAGAGTTAAACTTTTATTTTGATTAAGAAGTTTTGAAACTCTCTTTTTGTAGAATCTGCAAGTGGACATTTGGAGCGCTTTGAGACCTATGGTGGAAAACGAAATATCTTTACATAAAAACTAGACAGAATAATTCTGAGAAACTTCTTTGTGATGTGTGCGTTCATCTCACAGAGTGGAAACTTTCTTTTGTTTGAGCAGTTTGGAAACACTCTTTTTGTGGAATATACATGTGGACATTTGGAGCGCTTTGTGGCCTATGGCAGAAAAGGAATTATCCTCTCGTAAAATCTAGACAGAAGCAATCTGAGAAACTTCTTTATGATGTTTGCATTCATCTCAGAGAGTTAAACCTTTCTTTTGATTGAGCAGTTTTGAAACTCTCTTTTCGTAGAATCTGCAAGTGGACATTTGGAGCGCTTTGAGGCGTATGGTGGAAAAGGAAATATCTTCACATTAAGACTAGACAGAAGAATTCTGACAAACTTCTTCGAGATGCGTGTGTTCATCTCACAGAGTTAAACCTTTCTTTTGATTGAGCAGTTTGGAAACACTCTTTTTGTATCATCCGCAAGGGGGCATTTGGATCACTTTGCAGATTATTCTAGGAAAGGAAATAACTTCATATGAAATCTGGACAGAAGCAATCTGAGAAACTACTTTGTAATGTGTGCATTCATCTCACAGAGTTAAACCTTTCTTTTGATTGAGGAGTTTTGAAACTCTCTTTTTGTATTATCTGCAAGTGGACATTTGGACCACTTTGAAGCCTATGGAGGAAAAGGAAATATCTTCATATAAAAACCAGACAGAAGAATTCTGAGAAACTTCTTTGTGATGTGTGCGTTCATCTCACAGAGTTGAACTTTGTTTTGATTGAGCAGTTTGGAAACACTCTTTTAGTAGAATCTGCAAGTGGACATTTGGAGCTGTTTGTGGCCGATGGTAGAAAAGAAAATATCTTCACATAAAATGTAGACAGCAGCAATCTGAGAAACTACTTTGTGATGTGTACATTCATCTCATAGAGGTAAAGCTTTCTTTTGATTGAGTCGTTTTGAAACTCTCTTTTTGAAGAATCTGCAAGTGGACATCTAGAGCGCTTTGAGGCCTATGGTGGAAAAGAAAATATCTGCATATAAAAACTAGACAGAAGAATTCTGAGAAACTCCTTTGTGATGTGTGCGTTCATCTCGCAGAGTTGAACCTTTATTTTGATAGAGCAGTTTGGAAACACACTTTTTGTAGAATCTGCAAGTTGACATTTGGAGCGCGTTGTGGCCTATGGTAGAAAAGCATATATCTTCACATAAAATCTAATAGAAGCAATCTGAGAAACGTCTTTTTGATGTGTGCATTCAACTCACAGAGTTAGAGCTTTCTTTTGATGGGGCGGTTTGGAAACTCTATTTTTGTAGAATTTGCAAGTGGACATTTTGAGCGCTTTGCGGCCTATGGTGGAAAAGCAAATATCTTCACATAAAAACGAGACAGAAAAATTCTGAGAAACTTTTTTGTGATGCGTGCATTCATCTCAGAGAATTGAACTTTTCTTTTGGTTGACCAGGTTGGAAACACCCTTTGTGTAGAATCTGCAAGTGGACATTTGGAGCACTTTGTGGCCTTTGGTAGAAAATGAAATATCTTCACATAAAATCTGGACAGAAGCAATCTGAGAAACTTCTTTGTGATGTGTGCATTTATCTCCCAGAGTTGAACCTTTCTATTCATGGATCAGTTGTGAAATACGCTTTTTGTAGAATCTGCAAGTGGAGATTTCGAGTGCCTGGAGACCTATGGTGGAACATGAAATATCTTCATATAAAAACTAGACAGAAAAATTCTGAGAAAGGTCTTTGTGATATGTGGGTTCATCTCACAGAGTTGAAACTTTCTTTTGATTGAGCAGTTTGGAAACATGATTTTTGTAGAATCTACAACTGGACATTTGGAGTGCTTTGTGGCCTATGGTAGAAAAGGAAATATCTTCATATAAAATCTAGACAAACCCAATCTGAGAAACTTCTTTGTGATGTGTGCAGTCATCTCACAGTGTTAAAACTTTCTTTTGATTGAGCATTTTTGAGACTCTTTTTTGTAGAATCTGCAAGTGGACATTTGGAGACCTTTGAGGCCTGTGGTGGAAAAGGAAATATCTCACATAAAAACTAGACAGAAGAATTCTGAGAAACTTCTTTGTGATGTGTCCATTTATTTCACAGTGTTGAACCTTTCTTTTGATTGAGCAGTTTAGAAACACTCTTTTTGGAGAATCTGCAAGTGGACATTGGAGCGCTTTGAGGCCTATGGTGGAAAAGGATATATCTTCATATATAATCTAGACAGAAGCAATCTGAGAAACTTCTTTCTGATGTTTGCATTCATCTCACATGTTTAACCCTTTCTTTTGATTGAGCAGTTTTGAAACTCTCTTTTTGTAGAGTCTGCAAGTGGACATTTGCAGTGCTTTGAGGCCTATGGTGGAAAATGAAATATCTTCACATAAAAACTAGACGGAAGATTTCTGAGAAACTCCTTGTGATGCGTGCTTTCATCTCACAGAGTTGAACCTTTCTTTTGATTGAGCAGTTTGGAAACCCTCATTGAAGAATCTGCAATTGGACACTTGGAGCACTTTGTGGCCTATGATAGAAAAGAAAATATCTTCACATAAAATCTAGACAGAAGCAATCGGAGAAACTTCTTTGTGATGTGTGCATTCATCTCACAGAGTTAACCCTTTCTTTTGATTGAGCAATTTTGAAACTTTCTTTTTGTAGTATCTGCAAGTGGACATTTGGATCGCTTTGAGGCCTATGGTGGAAAACTTAATATCTTCACATAAAAACTAGAGAGAAGATTTCTGAGAAACATCTTTCTGATGCGTGCATTCATCTCACGGAGTTGAAGATTTCTTTTGATTGAGCAGTTTGGAAACACTCTTTTTGTAGATTCTGCAAGTGGATATTTGGAGCGCTTTGCGGCCTATGTTAGAAAAGGAAATATCTTCATATAAAATATAGACAGAAGCAACCTGAGAAACTTCTTTGTGATGCATGCATTCATCTCACACAGTTAAACCTTTCTTTTAATGGACCAGTTTTGAAATACAATTTTTGTATAATCTGCAAGTGGACATTTTGAGCGCCTTGAGGCCTATGGTGTAAAGGGAAATATCTTCACATAAAATCTAGACAGAACAATAACGTGAAATTTCTTTATGATGCATGGTTTCATCTCACAGAGTTGAATCTTTCTTTTGATTGAGCAGTTTGCAAAACAAGCTTTTTGTACAATCTGCAAGTGGACATATGGAGTGCTTCGTGGCCTATGGTAGAAAAGGAAATAACTTCACATAAAATCTAGACAGAAGAAATCTGAGAAACTTGTTTGTGATGTGTGCATTCATCTCACAGAGTTAAACCTTTCTACTGATTGAGGAATTTTGAAACTCTCTTTTTGTAGAATCTGCAAGTGAACATTTGGAGGAATTTGAGACCTATGTTGGAAAAGGAAATATCTTCACAAAAAAATGAGATAGAAGCATTCTCAGAAACTTCTTTGTGATGCTTGCATTCATGTCCCAGAGTTGAAACTTTCTTTGATGGACAAGTTTTGAAATACACTTTTTGTAGAATCTGCAAGTGGACATTTCGAGCGCCTTGAGGCCTATGGTGGAAAATGAAATATCTTCACATAAAAACCAGACAGAAGAATTCTGAGACACTTCTTTGTGATGTGTGTGTTCATCTCACAGAGTTGAACCTTTTTTCTAATTGATCAGTTTGGAAACACTCTTTTTGTGGAATCTTCAGGTGGACATTTGGAGTGCTTTGCAGCCTATGGTAGAAAAGGAAATATCTTCACATAAAATCTAGACAGAAGCAATCTGAGAAACATCTTTGTGATGTATGCCTTCATCTCACAGAGTAAAACCTTCCTTTTAATGGAGCAATTTTGAATCTCTCTTTTTTTTACAAACTGCAAGTGGACATTTGGAAGGCTTTGAGGCCTGTGGTGGAAAAGGAAATATCTTCACATAAAAACTAGACAGAAGAATTCTGAGAAACTCCTTTGTGATGTGTGCGTTCATCTCACAGAGTTGAACCTTACTTTTGATTGAGCGGTTTGGGAACACTCTTTTTGTAGGCTCTGCAAGTGGACATTTGGAGTGCTTTGCGGGCTATGGTAGAAAAGGAAATATCTTCACATAAAATCTAGACAGAAGCAACCTGACATACTTCTTTGTGCTGTGTGCATTCATCTCACAGAGTTGAATCTTTCTTTTCATAGAGCAGTTTTGAAACTCTCTTTTGTAAAATCTGCAAGTGGACATTTGAAGTGCTTTGAGGCATATGGTGGTTAACGAAATATCTTTACATAATAACTGGACAAAAGCATTCTGAGAAACTTCTTTGTGATGTGTGTGTTCATCTCTCAGAGTTAAATATTTCTTTTGATTGAACAGTTTTGAAACTCTCTTTTTGAAGAATCTTCAAGTGGACATTTGGAGCGCTTCGCTGCCTGTGGTAGAAAAGAAAGTTTCTTCACATAAAATCTAGACAGCAGCAATCTCAGAAACATCTTTGTGATGCATGCGTTCATTTCACAGAATTGAACATTTCTTTTGACTGAGCAGTTTGGAAACACCCTTGTTTTAAAATCTGGAATTGGACATTTGAAGAGCTTTGTGGCCTATGGTAGAAAACGAAATACCCTCACATAAAATCTAGGCAGAATCAGTCTGAGAAACATCTTTGTTATGTCTGCATTCATCTCAGAGAGTTAAAACTTTCTTTTGAACGAGCAGTTTTGAAACTCTCTTTTTGTAGAATCTGCAAGTGGACATTTGAAGTGCTTTGAGGCTTATAGTGGAAAAGGAAATATCTTCACATAAAAACTAGACAGAAGAATTCTGAGAAACTTCTTTGTGATGTGTGCATTCATCTCACAGAGTTGAAACTTTCTTTTGATTGTGCAGTTTGGAAACACTCTGTTTCCAGAATCTGCAGGGGGACATTTGGAGTGCTTTGTGTCCTATTGTAGAAAAGGAAACATCTTTACATAATATCTAGACAGAAGCAGTCTGAGAAACTACTTTGTGATGTGTGCATTCATCTCACACAGTTGAACCTTTCTGTTGATTGAGCAGTTTGGAAACACTCTTTTTGTAGAATCTGCAAGTGGACATTTGGAGCGCTTTGTGGCCTATGGTAGGAAAGGAAATATCTTCACATAAAATCTAGACAGTAGCAATCTGAGAAACTTCTTTGTGATGTCTTCATTCATCTCACAGAGTTAAACCTTTCTTTTGGTTGAGCAGTTTTGAAAGTCTGTTTTTTTTAGAATCTGCAAGTGAATATTTGGAGGGTTTTGAGGCCTATGGTGGAAAAGGAAATATCTTCAACTAAAAACTAGATAGAAGAATTCTGAGAAACTTCTTTGTGATGTGAGCATTGATCTCACAGAGTTGAAACTTTCTTTTGATTGAGCAGTTAGGAAACACTCTTTTTGTAGAATCTGCAAGTGGACATCTGGAGAGCTTTGAGGCCTGTGGTGGAAAAGGAAATATCTTCACACAAAACTAGACAGGAGAATTCTGAGAAACAACTTTGTGATTTGTGCATTTATCTCCCAGAGTTGAGACTCTCTTTTGAAGGAGTAGTTTTGAAATACTCTTTTTGTAGAATCAGCAAGTGGAATTTTGGAGCGCTTTGAGGCCTATGGTGGAAAAGGAAATATCTTCCCAAAAAAACTATACAGAAGATTTCTGAGAAACTTTTTTGTGATGTGTGCATTCATCTCCCAGAGTTAGATCTTTCTTTTGATTGAGCAGTCTTGAAACTCTCTTTATGTAGAATCTGCAAGTGGACATTTGGAGCAGTTTGGGGCCTATGTTGGAAAAGGAAATACCTTCACATAAAAATTAGAGATAATAATTCTGAGAAACTTCTTTGTGTTGTGTGCATTCATCCCACAGAGTTGAACCTTTCTTTTGATAGAGCAGGTTTGAAACACTCTTTTTGTAGAATCTGCAAGTGGACATTTTGAGCGCTTTCTGGCCTTTGGCAGAAAAGGAAATATCTTCACATGAAATCTAGATGGAAGCAATCTGAGAAACTTCTTTTTGATGTATGCATTCACATCAAAGTGCTAAAACTTTCTTTTGATTGAGGAGTTTCAAAACTCTCTTTTTGTAAAATGTGCAAGTGGACATTTGGAGTGCTTTGAGGCCTATGGTGGAAAAGGAAATATCTTCACATAAAAATTAGGCAGAAGAATCCTGAGAAACTTCTTTGTGATGTGTGCGTTCACTTCACAGATTTGAAACTTTCTTTTGACTGAGCAGTTTGGAAACACTCTTTTTGGAGAATCTGCTGGTGGACGTTTCGAGCGCTTTGCAGCCTATTGTACAGAAAGAAATATCTTCATATAAAATATAGACAGAAGCAATGTGAGAAACTTCTTTGTGATGTGTGGTTTCATCTCACAGAGTTGAACCTTTTTTTTGTTTGAGCAGTTTTGAAGCTCTCCTTTTGTAGAATCTGCAAGTGGACATATGGAGCATCTTGAGGCCTATGGTGGAAAAGGAAATATCTTCACATGAAAACTAGACAGAAGAATTCTGAGAAACTTCTTTCATCTCACAGAGTTGAACCTTTCTTTTGATTGAGTAGTACGGAAACACTGTTTTTGTGGAATCTGCAAGTGGACATTCATAGTGCTTTGTGGCTTATGGTTGAAAAGGAAATATATTCACACAAAATCTAGACAGAAGCAATCAGAGAAACTTCCTTGTGATGTGTGCATTCATCTCACAGAGTTAAACCTTCCTTCTGATTGAGCAGTTTTGAAACTCTCTTTTTGTATAATTTGCAGGTGGACAATTGTAGCGCTTTGACTCCTATGGTGGAAAAGGAAATATCTTCACATAAAAACTAGATAGAAGCATTCTGAGAAACTTCTTTGTTGTGTGTGCATTCATCTCCCAGAGATAAACCTTTCTTTTGTTGGAGCAGTTTTGAAATCCTCTTTTCATAGAATCTTCAAGTGGACATTTCAAGTTCCTTGAGGCCAGTGATGGAAAATGAAATATCTTCACATAAAAATTAGACAGAAGTATTCTGAGAAACTTCTTTGTGATGCTTGCGTTCATCTCACAGAGTTGAACCTTTCTTTTAATTCAGCAGTTTGGAAACACTCTTTTTGTAGAAACTGCAATTGGACATTTGGAGTGCTTTGCGGCTATGGTAGAAAAGGAAATATGTTCACATAAAATCTAGACAGAAGGAATCTGTGAAACTTCTTTGTGATGTGTGCATTCATCTCACAGAGTTAAAACTTTCTTTTGATTGAGAAGTTTTGAAACTCTCTTTTTGTAGAATCTGCAAGTGGACATTTGCAGCACTTTGAGGCCTGTGTTGGAAAAGGAAATATATTCACATAAAAACTAGACAGAATAATTATGAGAAACTTCTTTTTCATGCATGTGATCATCTCTCAGAGTTAAATCTTTCTTTTGATTGAACAATTTGGAAACACTCTTTTTGTAGAATCTGCAAGTGGACATTTGGAGCCCTTTGCAGCCTATGGTAGAAAAGGAAATATCTTCACATAAAATCTAGACAGAAACAATCTCAGAATGTTCCGTGTGATGTGCGCATTCATCTCCTAGAGTTGAGCCTTTCTTTTGAAGGACCAGTTTTGAAATACGCTTTTTGTAGAATCTACAAGTGGACATTTTGAGTGCCATGAAGCCTATGGTGGAAAAGGAAATATCTTCATATAAAAACTAGACAGAAGAATTCTGAGAAACTTCATTGTGATGCAGGCATACATCTCACAGAGCTGAAACTTTCTTTTGATTGAGCATATTTGAAACAATCTTTTTGTAGAATCTGCAAGTGGACATTTGGATCACTTTGCTGCCTATGCTAGGAAAGGAAAAACCTTCACATAAAATCTAGACAGAAGCAATCTGAGAAACATCTTTGTGATGTGTGCATTCATCTCGCAGAGTTGAACCTTTCTTTTGATTAAGGAGTTTGGAAACACTCTTTTTGTAGAATCTGCAAGTGGACATTTGTAGCGCTTGGTAGCCTATTGTAGAAAAGGAAATATGTTCACATAAAATCTAGACA